>NC_000014.9:29611713-29914743 GCF_000001405.40 Homo sapiens | reverse complement strand
TATTTATTTATTTAGAGATGGAGTGTTGCTCTGTCCCCCAGACTGGAGTGCAGTGTGATCTCAGCTCACTGTAACCTCCACCTGCCGGTTCAAGCAATTCTTCTGCCTCAGCCTCCTGAGTAGCTGGGATTACAGGCATGTGCCACCACGCCTAGCTAATTTTTGTATTTTTTGTAGAGATAGGGTTTTACTCTGTTGACCAGGCTGGTCTCGAACCCGCCTTGGCCTCTCAAAGTGCTGAGATTACAGGCGTGAGCCACTGTGCCCGGCCTGCTTTCCTTTTAGAAGTAGTATTTGGGTTGTATATTTGCTAAGGGTCATTCTTCACAAATATGTATGTTTATTCTTTTAATAAAGTTTGTTTGCTTGCTTATTTTTTGTCAATTATGAGTGAAGCCACCTGAAGGTAAACTTACTCCCACTTGTACATGATCAATCACCAGCTAAGTAGAAGTTTTCTTTCCACTTCAGCGGTTGAATTGAATTGTGAATTGCCTTGCATCCTTTCACATTGTCTGTGTCCAGGGCTAATGCCAACACGTAACTTCCCTCGTAGACTAATTGTACTTTCCTCAAACTTTACAAAAATGTAGATGTAAGTGTGTCTATATATAAAGAGAGATGACTTGACCTAAAGCACATTCACAATTCAGTTCGATTCTAACGGTTCCTGCCCTGAATGAGTACTGCATAGCATACAGTAAAGTAGTTTTCCCTAATGTACTAGAAAGGTGCTTTTCTTTGATGTATTTGGAACTTTTGAACTTTAGTACAATGGACAACTTACATAGAGACTTCTCTTTTCACGAGTTACTGGTAGTATCTTGCTAATGAAAAGGCAGCAGACATCTCCAGCTGTACTAGAGGTCTGAATTTACTAGATATCTGTTAGTCAAGTACTGTGCCTTGTAAACCTTATCTTCAGATAACTCATCTTAGCTAGTTGGACACAGGGCGTCAGTTGTTGCTTGAGTGGTAAAGCGAATCACGCATGCCTAGCTTTCCTTTACCAAATTACGAGTACTCAGAAATAACTGATTAACTTCAGAGCAACCTTTGTGACAGATGTTAATTTCATCTACTAATGTGGAATGTCAACTAGGATGTAGATCTTAACAATATTTACATAAACCCAGTGGCTTCCATACATTTTTGAAGAATGAAAAACTACATCTTGCATGATCTTTGCCTTTTTTTCAATTCTTTGAGAAGGATAAGGAGCAAAAGTAAACATAGAGTGAGGATGGATTAATGGAGAGGAGTTGCTCTAATACACTAAATTAAATAGGCTGACCATATGCTCTGTTGTCCAGGACAGTCCCAATTCCATGCCTGTTGTCCTGGAATTCTTTTAAATTGTATATTCACTAACAAAAACAAACAGTAAAGAAAAACAGAAAGAAAAACCTGACTTAGGGCACACATTTTATTACCTTTTGGCCAAAAAACCTGTACATTTAAGGAGAAAGGTAAAACTTACATTTCATAGAAAGAGTCATCAAATCATGTATATTAACCATGTCATTTTTGGTAACTCTTCTAAATGGTTTAAGCTAAAAACAAAAACAAACACCCTACTTAGGTTAGAATGTTATCCACTTTGAAACAAATGTTTCTGTATAACTTAAAAATGAAAAGACAACTAACATTTAGAATTCATTTCGTAAGCTAATTGCTTAGTCTCACTTTGAATGTAATATATAAAGTAGTTTCAATGCTCTTTTTCAACCAGTCAGTAATCCAAGATACTGCAATAGTGCATTTGTATCAAACAGCAAATAACTTTGATTATTGTGGTAGTACATACTAAATTGATTCTGGAGGTACATAATACCTTTATTAATTCAAGTAGTTAAACAGAAAAGCCTGCTTTGAAGCTGTAGCGTAAAGTGCTCTTCACAGTAATGACAAAGGCAAAATACATGGACTTAGATGCAGAAGGGTGACACTGTGTATCATAGTTTCAAGTTGTACTTTATTGTGTTCTTTTCACTGGAGAAAATACGGTTAGCTAAAAAAGGAGGAACACTATATACAGATGTCTTTGATTATTTAGAAAATTTGTTTTTTATTTAAAAAATAAGTAGGCAAATAAGAGAGAGAAAATTTTGGAAGTTGGGTTGTCCCAAAATAGGAATGTACGGACTGTAGCGCATATTTGCTTAAGATGTTCAGAGTCATGGTCTGGGTGAAGCAGATATGTGAGTTATACCTATTACTCTATACTTGGTTTCTGTTGATGAATATACTATTGAAGTCATGTTAAGAATTATAGGTTTGGAAGTCACAATGTTGAATATTCTGGCTCTGAAAAATAATGCAAGTCAGGGGACAAAAGCCACTTGAAAAGGAACTTGATTTAATCATTCCTGTTTAGAATTTTCTCCATGTGGAAAATTATGATTTTTATACTTTAATTAAATAATTGTTTTTTTTTGAAAATTACAAAATAACACTTCGTGGTAGGCTAAATAATGACCCTCCAAGATGTCTACATCCTAATCCCTGGAACCTTTGAATGTTACCTTATAGGTCAAATGGGACTTTGTAGATGTTGTTAAGGATTTTGAAACAGGGAGATGATACTGTGTTATCCAGGTGGGTCCAGTCCAATCGCATAAGACCTTAAAAGTGGACAGTTCTCCTAACTAGGTCAGACAGGTGAATATGAAGAGCAGGAGCGATTCAAAGAATGAGAGATTCAGTGCCCTTTTGCTGACTTTGCAGATGGAAGAAATGGGCCATGAGCCAAGGAATTAAATAGGCTGTAAGAGGAAAGCAGGAGGAGGTAGAGTCATGTAGTAGGAGATGTGACAACAGAAACAAGATGTTGGAATTATTCGAGGAGTAGCTCATGAGCCAAGGAACATAGGAAAAGCTAGAAGCTGCAAAAGGCTAGAAAAGATTTCTTCCTTCCAGAAGGAACCACATTTTGACTTTTGCCTAGAAAAACTGGTTTGGACTTCTGATCTCCGAAACAGTAAGATAATAAATTTTTGTTTAGTAAAGCCACTAAGTTTATGGTAAATTGTTACAGGAACAGTAAGAAACTAATATGTCACACTCATTGCAGAAAAGGTGAGAAATTCAGATAAGCCCCAAAGTGGATCATACTACTCAGAGTTAAATATAGTTAATATTTTGGTGGATATCTTATTTTTTTCTGTAAGCAAATATGCTCATCCAAATTCAAATATGCTTTTATTTGCTCTTTTTATTTGATACTTCTATGTCAGTTTTGAAATATAAAATGTTCAGTGCCCTTGGGGATAGTTTTATGTGAAGAAAAGACTTCAGATATGTACATTGGTTTTATAATTTAATATTCAAGTTATTAAAGTTGTAGATTCAGATGTTACTTCTTAATCTTTCTAGTAGAACTTAAAAATATAAATTTTAATAAGTCTAACAGATTTGAACAACCACATTCAACAATCTTTGAAGAATTATGGTATCCTTTACAAACTTAATTATTAAATGCTTTCAAACATTTGAAATTGCACTTCTAAATTTAAGATATTTGATTTCCTTTAAATACTTCAATCACCTGCTTGATAAACCTTTATATGTTCTTAAGTAGTTCTTACACACCTAATAAATTAAACATAAGTATTGCAAAGTTTAAGTTTTTCAATATTCCGATACCACACACACAAGCCAAAATTAATTACTTAATCATATGTATATAGTATGCACAAAAGTAATGATATTATGGTTTTGATTCTCTTAAACTTCTCTATGTTTAATTTCAAACCTTCCCATGTTTGAAAGATATTTTTTCACCTGTGAAATAATTGTGTGATTCCACACAATTTCTGGAGTTCCCTTCTCACCTTGTCATATAATTTTGCAGTTGTCTTATTGGCTCGATTAAAGTTGCACAAACACCAAGGCTTTTAGCTGGGACAAAGATTGGATTTTTGTGACAAGTATAGATCAACTCCACAGAACCCTATTTCTATCAGTGATTCTATCACTTCAAGAAAGGGGGAATCGTGTATCCCACATCCCTGGATTCCATTTATATATTACCTCTTTGTCCTAACAAGTCTCAAATTCCTTCCTTGATTGATCACTTGATTGGATTTTTAATTCCGTTAGCTCTTAAGATAGGCAAATCTCTTTTTTATCTACATGAAAGACTATTGAAGTTGATGAAATACTACACTTTCATAATCTTTCTTTCTCTTAAGGCTACATTAATTCTTATAGATATTAAGTATGTGATTGAATGTTGGCAGTCTCTAGGGCTTTGTGAAACTGTGTCCAAAATTGGTGGGTTCTTGGCCTCGCTGACTTCAACAATGAAGCCACGGACCCTCGCGTTGAGTGTTACAGTTCTTAAAGGTGGTGTGTCCAGAGTTTGTTCCTTCTGATGTTCGGACGTGTTCAGAGTTTATTCCTTCTGGTGGGCTCGTGGTCTTGCTGGCTTCATGAGTGAAGCTGCAGACCTTCGCGGTGAGTGTCACAGCTCTTAAGGCGGCGCGTCTGGAGTTGTTCGTTCCTCCCATCCGGAGTTGTTCATTCCTCCCAGTAGGTTCATGGTCTCACTGGCCTCAGGAGTGAAGTTGCAGACCTTCGCAGTGAGTGTTACAGCTCATAAAGGCAGTGTGGACCCAAAGAGTGAGCAGCAACAAGATTTATTGCAAAGAGTGAAAGAACAAAGCTTCCACAGTGTGGAAGGGGACCCCAGCAGGTTGCCACTGCTGGCTAGGGCAGCCTGCTTTTACTCTGCTGATTGGTCCATTTTACAGAGAGCTGATTGGTCTGTTTTACAGAGAGCTGATTGGTCTGTTTTGACAGGGTGCTGATTGGTGCATTTACAATCCCTGAGCTGGACACAAAAGTTCTCCCAGTCCCCACTAGATTAGCTAGACACAGAGCACTGATTGGTGTGTTTACAAACCTTGAGCTAGACACAGGGTGCTGATTGGTGTGTTTACAATCCTTTAGCTAGACGTAAAGATTCTCCAAGTCCCCACCAGATTAGCTAGCTACAGAGTGCTGATTGGTGTGTTTACAAACCTTGAGCTAGACACAGAGTGCTGATTGGTGTATTTACAAACCTTGAGCTAGACACAGAGTGCTGACTGGTGTATTTACAATCCCTTAGCTAGACATAAAGGTTCTCCAAGTCCCCACCAGATTAGCCAGATACAGAGTGCTGAATGGTGCATTCACAAACCTTGAGCTAGACACAGAGGGCTGATTGGTGTATCTACAATCCCTTAGCTAGACATAAAGGTTCTCCGAGTCCCTACTAGACTCAGGAGCCCAGCTGGCTTCACCTAGTGGATCCTGCACCCAGGCCGCAGGTGGAGCTGCCTGTCAGTCCTGCACCGTGTGCCCACACTCCTCAGCCCTTGGGCAGTTGATGGGACTGGGCGCCATGGAGCGGGGATGGCACTCACTGGGGAGGCTCGGGCTGTGCAGGAGCCCATGGGGGGCGGGGGGGGTTGGGTAGGGGGGAGGCTCGGGCATGGCGGGCTGCAGGTCCTGAGCCCTGCCCCATGGGGAGACAGCTGAGGCCCTGCGAGAATTCAAGTGCAGCGCTGGTGGGCTGGCACTGCTGGGGGACCTGGCGCACCCTCCACAGCTGCTGGCCCAGGTGCTAAGCCCCTCACTGCCTGGGGCTGGCAGCGCCGGCCAGCCACTCTGAGTGTGGGGCCCGCCAAGCCCACGCCCACCCGGAACTCATGCTGACCCGTGAGCGCCACTCGCAGCCCTGGTTCCCGCTTGCGCTTCTCCCTCCACACCTCACTGCAAGCAGAGGGAGCCAGCTCTGACCTTGGCTAGTCCAGAGAGGGGCTCCCATAGTGCAGCAGTGGGCTAAAGGGCTCCTCAAGCGTGGCCAGAGTGGGTGCTGAGGCCAAGGAGGTGCCCAGAATGAGCGAGGGCTGCCAGCACACTGTCACCTCTTAAAACCGTCTAGTCACAACTCATAAGACCATTGTTCTTACTCGATATCTTCCTCTGGAAATGAAAGAACACTCATGACACCACTTTCTAGTGTCTAACTAGAATTGGTATATAGATTTATTGCAGTATATTTAACTTGTACCCTACTCTTTGAAATTTAGGATTCTATTTTTTTGTTTGTTTTTCTTTGAAATGTCCTTATGCATAAGCTGTAGGATATTTTAAAAATTGACCAATGTAGGCTGGGTTTGGTGGCTCACGCCTGTAATCCCAGCACTTTGGGAGGCTGAGGCGGGCGGATCATGAGGTCAGAAGTTCGAGACCAGCCTGGCCAACATAGTGAAACCCCGTCTCTACGGAAAAATTAGCCAGGTGTGGTGGTGGGCGCCTGTTATCCCAGCTATTTGGGAGGCTGAGGCAGAAGAATCTCTTGAACCTGGGAGGTGGAGGTCGCGTTGAGCTATCATGCCATTGCACACCATCCCTGGCGACAGTGTGAGTCTCTGACTCAAGAAAAAAAGATTACTGATGTAATATGCATATTGAACTTATTTTGATATTATCTGTTAATATTACTAAAATTAATTCCTAAGATTAAATTGTTGTTTTTATTTCAGAATTATAATGATTCTTTGCTTTTTTCAGTTTGAAAAGTGCAAGTGCATAAGTTTTTTTTTTTTTTTTGCTTTGTCTTTACACAGAAAGATCAAGATGATGTAAGTACAAGATGCGGAATAAACTGTTAGATTCAATAACCAACACTTAAATGGATTACTGAGTAGACTACATATGAAATATATCTAACAGTTTCACGGTGAACAAATAAACTATAAAACCACAGCCTTACACTTTCAACTTTCCTGCTCTTCTTTAGTAAGAACTGGCTTGATTTTTAAAAATATGTGTCACATTTCACTTTGATCTTTTAAAAACAGTTTGGAAAATATACATCTCTATACATGTTTAAGAAAATTCCATAAAACAATTCCTTAGTAGTAAAAAACTCCATTTTATTCTTATCCAGTTTGTTCTACTCTGCAGTATTCTTTAGAAATCTGAAGTACAAATCTTATTTTTAGACACAAATATGAATGTCATCTTTGACACGTCCATGTTTCACTAAAAGTCCTTTCTTTTGCAAAAGAAACAGTTGCTTGCTTATTAAGTACTGTAGAGCTGTCTTTGGTAATTTGAAGTATATTCTGATTGAGAAAACTTTGGTTTATACAAAAAGTTTCAGGATTATCTTTATTCAGTAAATTTAGTAAGATTGGGTCAATCACACGAGAGTATAAACACCACACGACCAGGGATCTTTGCCTATTTTTTTCACTGTTATATCTCAGATATCCAGAACAGTGCCTGGCACTGAATGATTGAATGAATGATTTGTCTCATTATTTTCTTGTTATGCTCTTAGAAGCAGAATTGTGTGGTCTATGTGTATAAAAATTTAAGTCTTTTGTTATACCTGGGCTCTTTGCTTTCTAGTAATTGTTCTTTTCTACCTTTGATCCATAATTATTATTCAAATAATTTTTAAAAGGATTTTGTGAGATAAGATGTAGCTAGGGAGAATATTGGACGTTGCTGGAGGAAACAAACAGAAGCCCCGGAGATTTGGGTCGCTTCTGGGGATTTGATAGTCCTCTCAACTAACTGGGTCAAAGATTTAAAGATAGTGAAAGCCTTCCTTTCTGAGAACATTTTATGGTAGGGCCTGAATAAATATTTGTTGAATTGAGTCTGGAACAGAAAGAGTCTTTTGTGATTGTTAGTGGATACCTAGTTGAAATATTATGAAAAACATTTCAAGATTTTACTTGTCAAATCTCAGCCTAATTTACCTGTAGATTTTAAGAACAAAATTATGCGAATAATAAAAAGCCTGACAAACAAAATATAGTGGTAAGAGAGACAGTGATGCTGAGGAAACAATAAAGTCTTTGGAGAAAAAAATCAGAAAATAACAGACTCACCCAATCACCCCATGTTAGCTGGAAGTCTCTTTGTCATTGTTTGTTTTTTCTTCCCTGCTTCCCACTCACCTGTGAAGTGAATTTGAGAAACTCAGATGGGCTGACAGGGAACATTCAGCAGAGTGGCCTCCAGCCAAGAACTTTTTAGTCACTTGTTTGGCTGCTTTGATGTGAGTCAGATTGCAGTTTAAAAACATTTACCTTTTCCTCATTTCCTGTCAATTCATAACCTTAGTTACTTTAACTTTTTACATTTTACATCTCAGTTACTCTGCTCTGAATTTCTTAAGTCAGAGTTTAGCTTTTTTTTTTTGGTTAAATTGATACAAGGTCTCACTCTGCCTGGGACGTGCAATCATGGCTCACTGCAGCCTTGACCTCCTGGGCTCAAGCGATCTTCCTGCCTGGGCATCCCAGTAGCTGGAACCACTGGAGCATACCACCATGCCCAGTTAATTTTTAAATTTTCTGTAGAGACGGAGTCTCCCTGTGTTGCCCAGGCTGGTCTTGAACTCCTGGGCTCAAGTGATCCTCCTGCCTTGGCTTCCCAAAGTGCTGGGGTTGCAGGCATGGCCTACTACACCCAGCCTAGATTTCAGCTTTTTACATGACTTAAACTTAACGCTTACTTTAAAAAATCATTTTTATTTATACTTTCAATACTTATTATATACTAGATGGTGGGTATTAAATTACATATCTGTATCCATTTCTATGTGTGTGTGTTTATTGTCTTATTTTCTGGGATTTTTAAAAGGGTTTTTCTAACTTTAAAAATTTTCTCATTGATTTTAGTTCTTGACAATCCAGATTTACACCTCATGTGTTTTAAATTTTCTGCCTTACTGTTTTTATCTTTTTTCTCTTTATAATTTGTTTTCTCATGCAGTGTTTAAGCCTTCTCAGATATTCTTAAATGTCTCAGGGATACTCATGAGTTGACTTTCTCGAGAGTTATAAGCCCCGCTGGGTGGATATTATATTTGATTTTCTGGAGCCTTGTTGCCCGTTAACATAACATTCAGTTCTTGAATGATTAATCTGTCGTTTCCCAAATACATACCCGCTGTATTTTAAGCAAACAGTTGCGTGCTGTAAGCCTGAAGTGGGTGTAACTTCTGCAGTCAACCTTGAGGAGGGCTTCTCCCAGCCCTTGGTGCACGTCAATCATTCATGGGAGGTGGAACAGTAGTGATTTTCAGCCATGTTTCTAGCACTGTTTTTAAGCTGTCTTGCTTCTGAGATACTTATTACAAGGCTGGTCAGTTTCCTTTCCTGGCAAGATTTTATTAAAGAACTGAGAAGCTGGTCAGAAGATGGTTATCCCAACTTGGATTTTCACAAATCAATACTTTTTTTTTTTCCTGCTGGCAAATGGTTATTTAAAGTTATCAAGTATATATTTTACCTAGGCATTTTAAGAGTAGGCCTCTTGATACACAAAAAGCATTCCTCCTATTAAGTTTTGGATTATAGACCATAGGACACCCACATTCCTTGAAGTGCAGGGACATGGAAGACTAGAGTCCCTACTGGGAAACTTGGTCAAATTTTAGGAATTGGTCCAGGTTCCGGCCCTCTTGATGATGTAGTGTGATTCCACCTTTCTCCTTCAAGAGTTTTGTGTCTGACTTCTCTTTCATTTTTGGGCTGAGGGAGCTGGAAACAATCCCCTCGGTTGAGCGCCAAACCCTTCTCAGGGGTGACTGTAGAAGTTACACTCATTTCAGCCTGTAGCATGCAACCGTTTGCCCAAAGTACATTGGTATGTATTTGGCAGACCACAGTCCAGTAATTCCCGTTGTGGTGTACCTGAAAATCAGTTTAGGAAGTGTCATTCGTTTGGCAGATTCAGAGTGCAATGTCATCCAAAAAAGTGACCACGTATTCCCCACAAATTATTGATTTATTGGCTTTTTGTCCAAGTTGATTTCCAACTGAAAATTCAAATCTAAGTATTTTAGACCGATGATTTTACAATAGGAGTGTTAGGATTTAGGTATCATTCTTGTACTGCCTCTTTAAACAGGGAATAATATTAAGTTGTTTTCAGGTTTTATTAATCCACCTTGGCCTTTGAATCTATGGATAAGAATTATGAGCTAAGCTGTTTGAACTCAGCATATATCCCTAATTATTTAAGCTCCATCAGAACCTGCCCAGTAAGGGGAGTACTGGCATAAAGATCAGTAGGAATCCACTTCTCATAGGTCAGTTAAAATATAATAGCAATTATTGCTATATGGCAGTAATAATAGCAATTATTATTGCTAGTGTTATTATCCTTAATATAGCTAACATTTATCAGCTGTTACTATACCAGACACTCTTCTAAGGGTCCTACCTAGACATTTAATACATTTAATTTGCAAAAGAACCTAAGAGGTAAACATCTATTATCCTTATTTTGCAGGTGAGGAAATTGGGGCACAGAAAGAATTGCCCTGGATTATATAGGTAGTGGCAGAGTTGGGATTTTAAATTCAGGCATCAAGCCCAAAGTTTATGTATTTAACTACCAGACTATATTTATGGAACTTAAGCTTTTTCAGGCGGTTTAATAAATCTGAATAAACAATGGTTCCTCTTCCCTTTTAACTTTTTTCTTAATCATTTTACAGTGCTTTTGATTGAGCTTCAATTCCTGTTGTAGTGAACACAAATACACTATTCTTTTATAGGCAGATCTGTTTTATTATTTGGAATTACAGGGATTTCAGCCTAGAGGCTGACCCTGTTAATTATTGCCATAAAAATAAGTACCTATAAACTTTTCTAAATCTAAATTTCTTATGTTGCCAAATGTTTCCAAGTTTATAATTGGTTCAAAAGAGGCAGTTATATGTGTGTGTGTGTGTTTGTATATGTAAAAAATACATCCGTAAATATATGTGTATGTAAAAACACATGTAATTATATATAAAATATATATGTATGTCTTCAGTTTCTTGGTATCTTTATTTTTACGATAAATTTAAATTTTCTGAAAGAGCATATTAAAGCTAGACTGTACAAGCTTAGGCTTTATTTTCACTTTAAATGATGGACTTCCTATACCATCTTCAGTACCCAGCCTTAATAAACATCTAAATATAGACAGGCTTTTTTCATTAATCATTTTTTGTTCCTCAGTTGTCACCCCTTTATCCCTTTCTCCTCAGATTATTTTAAAGGTAAGTATTAAGATTTATTTTTAATCCAGGGTTTTGAGTCTTCAGAATGGCTTTTGGAGAACATCAGGATGTTGGAATAGTACTCTCCCTGTCAGGGGATATCATGTGTTTAGGTGCTTGGTTCTGGAAGACTACCTTTTACAGTTCTCTTATATGTTATGGCATGTGGTTCTCTATTTAACTGACAACAAAGAGAACTGTACTCCAGGCATTATGCTGATGGTTGTTCCTCAGTAGTATCCGTGAGAGAGAGCCTGTATGAATAATTGATTGAAGAACATACATTCTGTCCCTTCTCCCAGATTTTTAAAAATATAGTCCTGAACCAAGTTATATTAAAGGGTCGTGTGCCAAAGGTATTGCATTAATGAAATGCAGAATGATTTGTGGTGATGCCATTAGCCCGTTTCGAGGCTGGTTGGATAGTATGCTCCTGTGCAACTGAGGTCTTAGGGAAGGCCAATACATTATTTGTTATACAGTGTTCTTTTGAGGAACCTGGGGGAAAATTCTCTGTTAAATTTTAATCCCAAGAATAGTTGTTCGTCTCTTGAGCCATTCCTATGTTTTTAATCTTATTGACAGCGTGAAGTGTGTTATTAACGTTTTTCCATCTTGTGTTGACTGCCCTAGAGCTGAGAGCCAAATTTGGGGCCCAAAGGGCAGGAATATAGGGCATTATAACGTGGATTTTAAATTCTGTTCCCACTTTTCATTTGTCTTCACCCTTATATTTCTTTTTCCCTTTTTAGTTAAAATATAAACAAATTCTCGAAAATTCTAACAGTCGTTATGTCTAGCTTGAAGTGAGATAGATGATTTTTTTTTTATTTTTCCTTTTCTAAATTTCTTATGATATACATAATAAAAGTAATTAGAAAAACTCAGTAACACTTTTAAAAATTGAATTTAAATAACGAACTACTAATATAAAAATGATTGGAAAGCCAGGTTCATGCAACAATTAGAAATCTATGGGTACAGATTTCATTTTGTCATTTTGAATTACTTAGACTTATTTAAAATGATTAAATGAATGTTTATTAAGCAAGGCTCCATACTGAGCACTTTCAGAATAATATCTCAATCTTGGAGCAGCCATGTAGGAAAGAAATGTTTATTCCCGCCTCTGTGGGCGAATAAAAAACCAAAAAATAGTGAATGATGCATCCTCAAAAATACCTTCTAAAGGAAATTATAACATCAGCTACACAATTAACAACTGTTAATTTGCTGCTTTCATTTTACTATATGGACCTCACTTTTAGAAGGCATTGTATGCTTTTCATAAGTCATATTATTGATAAATATATTTTACCTATTTTTTCTAGTAACAAAAATAATGTACAGTATTTTGAATCAGAGATTTTGACCATGAAAATTGATAAATCATAATTCCTTTTTTTTTTTTTGGAGATGGAGTTTTGCTCTTGTTGCCCAGGCTGGAGTGCAATGGCGTGATCTTAGCTCACTGCAACCTCTGCCTCCCGGGTTCAAGCAGTTCTCCTGCCTCAGCCTTCCAAGTAGCTGGGATTCCAGGTGTGTGTCACCATGCCTGGCTAGAAAATTGATAAATCATAATTCCCATGCATTTTGCTCCAAGACATGCTTAGAGCCCTGTGAGAGTGGTATGATAGTGTGGCAAGAGAATACTGGTTTACAAATAGAAGACTCAAGTTATTGTCCTATATAGATGTATATTGAGTTTGTATGTGTCAAACTCTGTTCTAAGCTTTGGAGGTACAAAGTCAAAGAGCTTTGGAATCCTTGGCAGCCTCCTAACTTCTGGATATGAAGTTTCTGCATCTTAATAATCTTGTTAAACAGGGATGGCGATACCTGTTTTTCCTAACATCAGAGTTTGTTGTAAGGATCAAAATAAATACGGCTTGAGTGAGTATTTTTGAAAAGGGCCCAGCATAGTGATAAAAAGAAGGTAATATTATTGACTGACAAAGTATGACATTTTCTACTATTGCTGTTGCTGTTGTACTATTGATTACTGTTGATATAGATGCAAATGTAAGTTGATTAAAGTATAAATTTAGATTTGAAGACTCAAAAATTAATGAACTATGCTGTATCTTTTTTATTTTTATTTTTTATAATTTCAGCTTTTGACAAAGTTTGACATTTTCTACTATTGTTGTTGCTGTTGTACTATTGATTACTATTGATAAAGTAATAGTAGATTAAGGAGTACATGTGCAGGTTCGTTAAATGCGTATATTGCATGATGCTGAGGTTTAGGGTACAGATGATCCCATCACCCAGGTAGTGAGCATAGTACTCAGTAGGTGGTTTTTCAGCCTCTTTTCCACTCCCTTCTAATTTGTCTGGTAGTCCCAGTGTCCATTGTTCCCATCTTTTTGTCTATGTGTGTTTAATGCTTAGCTCCCATTTATATGTGAGAACACGTGGTATTTGGTTTTCTGTTCTTGCATTAATTTGCCTAGGATAATTACCTCTAACTCCATCCATGTTGCTGCAAAGGACATGATTCCATTCTTTTTTATGGCTGTGTAATATTCCATGGTGTAAATGTACCACATTTTCTTTATCCAGTTCACTGTTGAAGGGCACATAGGTAGATTTCATGTCTTTGCTATTGTGAATAGCACTGCAGTGAACAAGTAAGTGCGTTTGTCTTTTTGATAGAATGAATTATTTTCTTTTGGGCATATACCCAGTAGGAGGATTGCTGGGTCAAATGGTAGCTTTTTAAGTTCTTCGAGAAATCTCCAAATTGCTTTCCACAGTGGCTGAATTAGTTTGCATTTCCCACCAACAGTGTATAAGCGTTCCTTTTTCTCCACAGCCTCACCAGGTTTTGTTATTTTTTGACTTTCTAAAGTTGTTATTTTAGCCAACTGACTGGTGTGAGATGGTATCTCATTGTGGTTTTGATTTGCATTTCTCTGATGATTAGTGATGTGGAGCATTTTTTCTTATGTTTGTTGTTGCTTGTATGTCTTGTTTAGAGAATTGTATTTCATGTTTTTTGCCCATTTTTAAATTGGATTGTTTGTTTTTTTGCTTGTTGATTTAAGTCCTTTTTTGATTCTGGATATTTGACCTTTGTCAGATGCATAGTTTGTAAATATTTTCTCCCATTCTGTAGGCTGTCTGTTTACTCTGTTGGTAATTTATTTTACTCTGCAGAAGCTTTTTAGTTTAATTAGGTTTCACTTGTCAGTTTTCATTTTTGTTGCAGTTGCTTTTGGGGACTTAGTGATATGCTTTACCTTTTAAACTGCTCTGTTGTCAAGATTTTTCTTTTTTCATTATCAAAGCCAAGAGATTTAAATGAACACTTGGTCTCATTATGCACTCTATAAGGGAATGGTTAGGAGGAGGAGCCTGGTTTGAAGTCTGATTGTGCCACTTGCTTTCTGACTAACCTTGGGTAATTTACTTCAGATCTCAGTTTCCTTTTCTGTGAAGTAAGGATAATAAACGTCTGTGCAGTAGACATTTAGGATTGTTATGGGAGTCAGTAACATCTATGGAACACTTACATATTAGTCCATTTTCACACTGCTATAAATACCCAAGACTGGGCAATTTATAAAGGAAAAAGGTTTAATTGACTCACAGTTCTGCATGGCTGCGGAGGCCTCAGGAAACTTACAGTAATACTGGAAGGTGAAGGAGAAGCAAGCACCTTCTTCACAAGATGGCAGGAAAGAGAGCTCAAGCTCAGGAGAAACTGCCATTTATAAAACCATCAGATCTCATGAGAACTCATTATCACAAGAGCAGCATGGAGGAAACCGCCCCCATGATCCAATTACCTCCCACCAGGTCCCTCTCCCAACACATGGGGATTACAATTCGGATTACAGTTTGAGATGAGATTTGAGTGGGGACACAGCCAAACCATATCATAGTGCTTTGCACATACTAAGCAGTCAGTCCATGCTAGTTATGATGACACATTCATTAATAACATTACTGAGGTTGTAATTTAAGGTCTATATGGGCAAAATCCTAAATGGTAAATTCTTACTTTAAATTTAAGTTTTTGAGACACAATCTCTCTCTGTTACCCAGTATGGAGTGCAGTGGCGTGATTTCAGCTCACTGCAACCGCCACCTCCTGGGTTCAAGCAATTCTCATGCTTCAGCCTCCTGAGTAGCTGGGATTATAGGCGTGGGTCACCATGCCCAGCCAATTTTTGTATTTTTAGTAGAGATGGGGTTTTACCATGTTGACCAGGCTGTTCTTGAACTCCGGGCCTTAAGTGATCTGTGCACCTCGGCCTCTGAAAGTGCTGAGATTACAGGTGTGAGCCACCGTGCCTGGCCAAATTCTTACTTTATATGAACAACCTCCCAATGTATAAGGTGTATTGTACAAAATAGATTATGTGTTTTTTTGACAAGGTTTGAAAACCAGTAAATTAATTTATACAATAAATCATGAATGATTTCATGAAATTTGTTATGAAAAAATGGTTTAACCTTATTTATAAATGTAACTAAATGTGATGTAGTTAAAATACTGTATTTATTTGATGTAAACTCTATTATTCTATTGGTGTGTGCTTGTATTGATTCTTAGTGAATTGTGGATTGAACTCAAAATAGCAAATGCTAATCTTGATATAAATATTTTCATATTTGAATCATAAATGAGAATTTGCATTTTGAATATTTTATAAATATTAATCAATTAAACTTCAGTGATCAAGATATTATAAATCAACCTTCTGGATGAGTATTAAAATTTGCCAGCCCATAGAGAAATTCTCTGCCTTCTGTATTCTAAAATAGCATCCAGATAGGAGTCTTTAATATTAAATGGTTTTTTAAAGTTTCTCTCACTTTCTTTTTGCTTATAAAGAAATATTTTAAAATGTGTACTTAAAAATCAAAGGAAGGCTCAGGCAGTTTGTATCTGTGGACACAGCTGATGTAATCATTTGGACAGGATTGAAGTCAATTTAGTCAAATTCGCAACCAGCTCAATTAAAAACAACACCAACAAGAACAGCAGTAACAGTGGCTTCTGTTTTGGTCAGAATTATCAATCTAGTGGTGTTTGAAGACAATAAAAATTACCTGATGATTTGCTTTAAGTTGAGAAGTCTAATAGCTAAGTAAAGTGACACAGTGTCATATGTAATGATATGTAATATTCATCAAAAGCACAAATATTTGAATAATGTTGGAATTTATTTATTCCATAAACGTTTTGTAATGTATCTTTATTTCCCCAGGCACTTACGGACCTGTTGATGTACATAGAGAAAAAAATACTATACCCTTCCCTGAAGAACTTACTTACCATTCTACTGACTGCTTTCTTAGACATATTGGCTAAAATGTACTGAAAATTTTAAAATTCTTTAAAAAAAGTATTCTTTTTAAAAAGTATACTCTTTTGCTAACTCAAGCTTAGATGATTATCATATTTAATGACCATCAGAAACATACATAGAATCTCTTATTTTCTTGTCTTAATGTGCAAAAATACACATAAATGTAGAACTGCAAAATCTGGAATTGAAAAGAGGGATATACCACTGACTTCGAAAGCAAAAACAGTATAAAAATTCTTCTAAATTCAAAACTTCCAAGTTCAAACTTCTAAATTCAAAAAATTTCTAAATTTGTGAAATTAAACAATTTGTAATTTTTAGGATGCGTTGTTTTTAATTTTTAACTTATTTTAAATTTAAAGGGATAATATATAACATTTTCTTTATATTTTAAGAAACATAGATAGCTGTATAACAAGGTTGTTTTCAAGAAAGCACCACAATAGGTAAGAAAATGTTAACTCCTATTTCTTGGACATTAATATTCTGAGTTTTATCTTTTATCAAAAACTATTGAGTACCATTGAAGAAAAGAACTTTCTTTTGAAAAGAAAAGTTTTCAAAATACTATGAGATTGTATGGAAGCAACCAGTTTCTGCCAAGTGAGTAAGTCAGTCTTTCATAGATGCACCTCTACATCATAGCTTTAAAAAATAACTAGGCACCTACCAAGTACCCAGCACTTTACCTGTTTTCCTTTTATCTTTTATTATCCTTTTATCTTTATAAAAATTCCGTGAGTTTGGAATTTTTCTCATTCTACAGATTAGGAAACTGTGACACAAATAATTTCATAAAGAATTTCATAACAGGGCTGCATAGTTAGTAAATGATGAAGGTCTGTTTGCTCCAAAACACTTGCTTTTCCACTGGATCACAGTTCTACAAAACAGATCATTGCAGTGCAGTGTCTAGGATTGTCTGTGTTTGGCATGTGTTATTATATGTGCAGGAATATCTGATTATTTGTGCGGTAATACCCATTGTATAGTTGTTTATAAAAGGAAACAAATAGCAAACAACTCAAATATCTTACAATAAGGAAATAGTATACAGTAGTATTACAATAAGGAAGTAGTATAACAAATGAAATTTGTTATATCTATATAATTAAGATTTTGCAGATTAAAATGTGGATGTGGAAATATATTTTTATTTACATGAAAGATGTCCACGATATATGGTTGAGTAAAATAAGCTTATAAAATAGACTTATAAAATGAGTCAATTAAAAATTTGTATAGATACATAGAAATCTAGAAAGATACTCTTATTATCTAAAATTGTAAGTGGTTTTATCTGGCTAGTAGGATCATAGATATTTTCATTTTTTATAAAATATGAAAAAATTATAAATTTTTTATTATTAGATAAATACAAGAAAGCAGTTTTTTACTTTTGAAAGGAAAAATATTTAGAGAACATGCACTTACATTATTGGATAATACTCTCATTGTCACTCATACTTTGTGTCCCATATCCTTTCTACCCACCTACCCCCTATTCTTCTGCTAAACATTATAGTTTATTTTCTTCCAAGGCTCTGACGAGATTCATTTGCATGTCGGTTATGGTGACAGAAGGCAAGGAGGTTCCTGCTCTCTCCCTGTTTTTTTTTTTTTTTTTTAACTGTTTAATTCTCATAATAAATTGTAACATCTTGAAGCTCAGCCTTTTACAACCATTTTGTGTAAATAAGGCCTGGCCATCTTAATGACAGATACGTTTACTTGGTTGCCACATATCTTGTTTGTTTTGAATTGTGTTTGCCCAGCTTTACAATCTAAGATTTTTTTGCCGATGCAGGCAGAAATCAGTCCTCTGTCTTTATTTTTCTGATGATTTACTGATTATCAGGGAGAGCAAAACCACTGAAGTCCATTTCCTCTCCTATCACCTAAGCAAATATTACCTGTTCAAAGGAAAAATAAACCTTCATTTAAGCTAATAGTCTTGATGGGTGTGTGTGTGTGTGTGTGTGTACACACACATGCCTGTAGAAACCTTAAAAACCTTATAATTGGGAAACGTTAATGGAAAACAGATTTTCTGAAGTTAAGAGTCAGTAAATCTGGATTTAAGCTCTGGTGTCATATATTAATTACATAGGAAAACCTCCTAAATTTTCATTAGTTCTCTTTTCTCATCTAAATAATGTTGATAATTGTTTAAATATTACCTTACAGGGTTTGGGGCATGATTCACTTGGATAATACTTAGTCCTTAATTTATTTATTCACTCATTTGTTCTACAAATATATATTGCGCTCCTATTGTAAAGTAGATGGTATTCTAGGCACATAGATGTATCTGTAAACAAAACAGACAAAATCCCTGCTCTCTTGAAGCTACATTCTAGTGGATAGAGATAAACAATGAAAAGTAAGCATAGTGAGTAAGAAAGTTAAATATAATTAGTGCTATCTATAAAAGTAAAAAGTATGGTTAAGGAAAACTGGTACTGCTGTGCATAGGGCAGGGTAGAGTTGGGGAGCAGGTTACAGTGTTACATAGGGTGGTCAGGGCTGGCTTCCTTGAGAACGTGACATTTGAGTAAAGACTCAAATGAGGTGAAGGAGCAGCCGTGTGGACATGTCGGTGGAGAGTGTGCCTTAGGCAGAAAGAACAGTCAGTGCAAAAGTCCTAAAGTGCTTGCAGGACAGCAGCGAGGCTGCCAGGCTGGTATGGAGTGAGTGGGGAGATGAGATAAGAGAGGTGAAAGTCAGATTGCTCCCAAGGGCCTCGCGGGACACTTCAGGACTCCACCTTTCCCTCCGAATGAGACTTCAGCTGGTTTAGGATTTTGAGAGGAGTGATGAAACCTGATTCAGGTTTGTAAAGGATCACTCTTGGCTGCTGAATAGAAACTAGAGTGGCGGTGAGAGTGGGAACAGGGAGGGCGGCTAGGGGCTTCTTATAGGAATTTAATTAAGAGATGATGGGGCTTATATGAAAGTGAGCAGTCAGGGTGGGGAGAAAAATCCATTAAATACAGTATAAATGAACGTTTTTTGTTTGTTTGTTTGTTTTTGAGATGGAGTCTCACTCTGTCGCCCAGGCTGGGGTGCAGTGGCATGATCTTGGCTCACTGCAACCTCTGCCTCCCGGGTTCAAGCGAGTCTCCTGCCTCAGCTTCTTGAGTAGCTGAGATTACAGGTGTCCGCCACCATGCCCAGATAATTTTTGGTATTTTAGTAGAGATGCTGGCCAGGCTGGTCTCGAACCCCTGACCTTGTGATCTGCCTGCCTCAGCCTCCCAAAGTGTTGGGATTACAGGCGTGAGCCACAGCGCCCGGCTATTTGTTCTTATAAACATGGTGTTGAGCTAGAGAGTATCCAGTTCTCAAAGTTACCAGTTTTTCTTTGGGGCTTGGAATTTAAATATAGACTGTTATTTAAACGTACATGTTTTGACATCATATGTCTAGAAATTAAATAGGACATCTTAGTTTAAATTGCTTTTAGTAAAGATCTTGTGAGAAAATCAAGTTTGAAGCTCAATAAAGCTTGCTTCTGTGCTTCTTCTGATCACATAGCACACAGTCCAGGGGTGATTCAGTATTGTTCTGGCTTGTTTCAGAAACTGAGAAACCATTCTCAATACTACTGTCTCTCCATCCTCTCTCCACCATGTAATCCAAGTTTTGTCCATTGTGTTTTCAAAATATATCTAAAATCTGTTTATTTCTCTCCATCTCCACTGTTAACCCCATGGTCCTAGATAGACGTTGTCAGTTTTGCTATACTACAAGTCTCCTCATCCATTCTTTACTTAGCAGACAGATAATTTTGTACAAATGTAGGTCTCATTAAATCATGCTGCAGTGTAAAACATTTCAATGATATCCACTAGAATATTCTCCATATGTCCCCATCCATTATCTGCCTTTCTTTACTCTGTACTCCAAGAGGATACAGAATACAACCCTGGAACTCCTTTGGCTTCTGGCTTCCAACTGAGGATGGTATACTTCCCCTTGCATCTAGAACAAAGTCACAATTCAGGACATGGACAATCATTGCAAGGAAGGCTCTGCGTGATTTTGCTGATCTACCCATCTCACTTCTTTCGCCATCCCTGGCTTTGACAGTTGCCTTTCAGTTCCTTATACTCCCCCGCCTCCTCCCACCTCCTTGGTGTATACTCTCATTATTCCTGACTGAACCACTTTTCCTCCACCTCCCATCCACTTCACTTGGCTCACTCTTGCTTATCTTGAATGTCTCAACTTTAACATCACTTCCTCAGAGAAACCTTCCCTAATTATATACTCCCATTTCTCACTGAATTTTTCTTTTGTAGCAGGTGGTGTGACTATGTATAAATATTCATGCAACATGTTTGCATAGTGATTCTCTTCTCTCATAGATTCTGGGTTCCATGAGGTCAAAGATATGCAGGTATTTCTTTTAAATCTAAGTCTCAGAAGCAGTGGTTGGTACATACAGAGCACTCACTAGCTGCCTGGTGAATGCATTCAGAAATTAAATATAGCCTCACAGGCAGTTTTCAGTAATTGCCGAGGAGATTGTAATGTGTTAGTGTAGAGTCATATCTAGGAGCACACTTAGAACTGAAAATTAGAACTAGCACTGGAGCCCAGGAGTCTGTGTGTTCTGACCTGAAACCTAGAAACCGACATTCATAAGGCTAGCGATATTATGGAAGACACTAAGAACCACTGCTAAAGAAAATGATGTCAGCAAGGTGTTTCTCATCTTTTAATATTAAAGTTGAAAGTGTTTATATATGTTTTTTCATTACATATGCTTATTATAACTTTTGTGACTGGTATGATTTACTTATTTTTTCTGACTTTAATTAAGAGCAAGATTCCATACGTTTAACAAGTGGAAATAAGGTAGGAAGAGCTTTGGCCCAAATATGTGAGTGAAGACAAAAAGAATGCCACATGCCACTAAAAAGATTTGAAAACCAAAAAAAAACCTCTTTCTATTATAAATAACTTTTTATTTTAGAAATAAATAATATTCTAATTATTTTAGAAAGAATAACTTTGGTTATTAACATCTTTATTTTTAAATTTTCAACAAGAAAATTTGGTTTTGTTGGTAATAAACTACTCTTATATGTATTAAATATTTGGAAATCTGATCTTTAAAATTTTTGTTGTAATGAAATTTTACCTTTCTACCATCTCTACTAGAAAATGAAAATATACTAATCTGTCAGAGTATTATTAATAAAATGAAAATTTACTAATCTGTCCATTTTGTCTTACTGATTCATTTAGAAAAGTTTGAATTGTATCCTAGGAAAGGTCCATTACTAGCCATTTCAGAAGAAAGTCAATAGATATGTTATTGAAATGCATTTGGCATTCTAAGGGTTTCAAATTCATAGAGCTGAATGGAATTTAACTTTATGAAGAAATAGGCTTTGATGGATATATTTAATGGTATTTCAATTCCAACATAAGTTTGATGCCTGTAACATTTTAGAAATAGATGTGTTTGGTGGAAATGTTGACAGATTCTTATTTGTAAGCAGTGCATGAAGCCATCTAGAATTTTAGTGACCTCCCTTTTGATGAGTGACTATTCATATTTATTCTTATTCATTCTAATAATCAGTTTTAAAGTACCAACAGGACAGTGTATAACATCTCAGTCTGATGGGTCCACTTCTGAAGGTACTATGTCTAAAGTTACTGCATTTTGGCACACTGAAGCCAGTGTGTACCTGAAAAGATGCCTCAGCCTTGATCATCTACCTTCTCCACAAGTTAGTATGTGAGAGGAGGCTAGATCTTGTAGCATTATGTCATTCTTGGCACTGAAAAGAAGGTAATTTGTGTAAGACTTTTATTGTGAGATCTGTCAACATGGAAACTGCAAAACAAACTTCTGAAAGAGATGATGTGTAATGCTGTTTTTTTTTTTTTTTTGTATGGGTGGCCATGAAATGATTTCACATTTAGTGGAAAAAGGCACAGAATATTGTTCTTGATACAAAGAGAAACTTCCTCAACCATTTGGCTAATATATTTGGAAAACTTGAGTTCTTTAAAGAAAATGGAAAATCCAGTTAACGGTTACTTACCCCATATCTCCTGCATGCTTGTCAAGCAAGGTGTTACACTCAGTACATTGATGTGTTTGGAAATGAAAGAAGGAATGGTTGGATGTACATACATGGGTGCTAAAATGAAGGAAATTAATATGTTGAAGAACTGTTTGTAGGAAAAACATTTGGAAAGTGTGGAATCTCAAAGAAGTATGTGATAAAAAATCCTTCATGTATTGAGAGGACATAAGGCTTGATGAAAGTTAGTAAATCTTAATTTATGCCAAAGTGGAGTCACTACAATTAATACCAAGGCAATGAACTGTGTGACGTATTCATCAGCATTAGTGGGCCTTTAAACTTTTGATGAAACTCAGAAATTTTAAGAGGTGAGTAGGGAAAATTTTTAGAAGTTGTAATAAAATATTTAGATTAGATTATTTTGGTGTGTTTCATATGCATATGTATTTGGAATAGTTAGCTACATATAAATTCTATTTCTGAATTGAATTCCATGAATTTGTTTCAAGTACCTACTTTTAAAGCAGCGTATATTTTCTGTGAGTGATAAAAGAGGAATAATACGTGCATTGTTTAGAAATTCACCGCAAATATGGCAAACAAAACAATCTAGAAAGGGATTTAAACGAAAAAAAAAAAACCCCAAAAATTTACCATCCAGTAGTAAAGGTGGATTATGAGAGACCCTGCCTTAGAGAGTCATAGGAGAGCATGGTCCTATTCAGTTAGAGCCACCAGAAAAGTCCTCACAGAAGAGGAGGTGCTGAAATAGACTCGAAGGAAAAGGTTTATTTGTAATATGAAGATGAAGAAGGCAGAGGCATAGAAGGTGGCCTGCAATAGTGACATAGTGCATGCGTGCATGCATGAGGCAGGAGGTGGATGGGAGGAAGGAAAACAGGTATCTAACCAAATATTTCACCTGTGTTTTTGGTTTTTGCTACTGAATTGGACAGAGGCTGTCACCATTCATGGTGGTTCTGAAAAAACAAACAAAAAAGCCACTCCATTCCTGATTATTACTCTAACTAGACTGTTGTTGCTCTCCCTTGAGTTTCAGAGTAGTTGTACCTCTGCCACATCAGTGAAAATTATACTACTTTAAAGGAGTTTTTCTTCTCACTTGTTTTACATTTGTCACCTATTACATAGCTGTCCTTTGGGCATCTGGCTAGCATCTATGAGCCATTGGTACATTTCTTCCTTGATAAATCCCCAGTGTCTAGGATAGTGCCGGTACATAGCAGGCATTTGTTAATTACATGATGAATATTTTTGGTAAGGATTCTCTCTTGATATTTTATTATCAGGTATATTTTATGTTAAATGCAAATAAAACTGATCACAAGAAACTGTGACCTTGGTGATAGATAGAATTTTCAAAATCATATGGAACATTAACTTTCATTCAGTATTAACATTAACATTAACTTTCATTCAACATTAACAGCATATCAACATATAATCAAAATTATATATCTTTATTTGTTAAGGGTATGCAGTGTCAAATGGCAATCAGGTTTCTTGGTATAATTTGTTTCTGTGTTTGTACTTCATGCAATCATAAACTAGGTAGGCACTTTCTTCCCTTAGAAGGGTTACTAAATTGGAAGATTATCTTTCTTTGGAATATGCTTGGAATGTATTATCTTTAATTATTTTACTGAAGAAAAAAAAGAGAAAGGCCAGAGAGCTTGTTTCAGTCCTGTGAATTTTTTAAGGTTATTGCCTAACTCACCTTCATTCTCTATATTGAGTCAGGAGTTCCGTCTATCTATGTATCTATCTATCTACCTATTTATCTAGTTATTTATTTTTGGATAACATTTATTTATGTAAGGTACTGTGCCACGTTTGTTATTCCTCCCAGAACATTTGTTTTATAGATGAAGAATTGAGGATTCCCTTGCTCAAGAATATACAGTGAGTGAGTGATGGGTAGGAATTGGGGATAGAAATTATTTATTTGATGAAGCGCTCACTTTCAAAGATGCCATCCAGAGATTTATTGCTTTAATTATAACAGGTTGGGAGAATTAGTAAAAGTTCTTAGCAGTGAGAAAACAAATAAAATGCTTGAAATAACTGAACATGCCAGAAACTAGCAGTTCTTTGCTTTATCTCAGGAGAACAGAATTATTCTGGAGAGAACTGCATTTGATAAAATGCTGGCAAAAGTATTAAAACACTATTAAAATGTAGTAGCAATAATATAATCTAGGGATTTCAGAAATGCATATGTGTAATTAAATGACACAACTTATTTGAGAACTTCATTAGAAAATTAGACACTGTTCCTTTCTACTCCCTTCTGTATCCTCAGAGCCTAGTTAAGTGTCTGCCGTAGAATAGGTGCTCTATAAATTCTTGTTGGATGAATGAAAGGATATTTGAGTAATTTTTTAAATTATTATTATACTTTAAGTTCTAGGGTACACATGCACAACGTGCAGGTTTGTTACATAGGTATACATGTGCCATGTTGGTTTGCTGCACCCTTCCACTCATCATTTACATTAGGTATTTCTCCTAACACTATCCCTCTCCTTGTCCACACATCCGGCAGGCTCTGATGTGTGGTGTTCCCCTCCCTGTGTTCATGTGTTCTCGTTGTTCAGCTCCCACTTATGAGTGAGAACATGCAGTGTTTGGTTTTCTGTCCCTGTGATATTTTGCTGAGAATGATGGTTTCCAGCTTCATCCATGTGCCTGCAAAGGACATGAACTCATCCTTTTTTGTGGCTGCTTAGTATTCCATGGTGTATATATGCCACATTTTCTTCATCCAGTCTATTATTGATGGACAGTCACTCATGGCTTCCCTTGGCTAGGAAAGGGAAATCCCCCAGCCCCTTGCTCCCCGGGTGAGGTGATGCCCCACCCTGCTTTGGCTTGCCCTCCATGGGCTGCACCTACTGTCCAACCAGTCCCAATGAGATGAACCAGGTACCTCAGTTGGAAATGCAGAAATCACCCATCTTCTGCGTCAATCTCGCTGGGAACTGTAGACCAGAGCTGTTCCCTATTCGGCCATCTTTAGGTGTTGTTTTCAATGGGCCTCTTGGAGAGGTGACAACTGAGTGGAGTCTGAATGAAGTAAAGGCTCCGTATGCTTGTGAGCTCAAATTTATGTCTTGAACTTTAGACGCTTATATCCAAATACCTATCAGATAGCCCATTTGAATGTCTCAAGTAGTATTAATGACTCAAGGACTAGAGGACCAATGCTGTTAATATTAGTCACCTGAACAGAACCCAAACATGAAACACAGGTTTTTGCACATATGAGGAAGACCACAGTTTAGGGGATAGGAAAGATAGATGCTTGAAAGGTTCGGGTGACTGTAACTGCTTATGCAATAAAGAGCTAGCTTTGCCCAGCTTTACTCAGTAAGCTATTTTCACCTTAAACAAAGTCTTATGCTTTTCTGTGAATGCTTTTCAAATCAATTTAGAAATAAGGGTGAATATATATGAATTAATGCTCAGGACTTTGAAACTAGGTCAGCTATAAGTAACTTAGTGATGTAGTAATAATAAATTCTGCATTATTGAGGAGCTGAATTTCTGATTTGTGTGGTGTGTCTGGTTTTTTTTGCATGACTCCTCTACTTTCTGTATTTCATCACCATGTGCAGTTTTATTTCCAGTATTCTCCTATGTCAACTCTGCTGGTCAACTTAGATGTCATAGACTTTCCTCAAGTACCACTTCGGATTTGCTGCTAACATTGAATTATATCATGTAGGTTTGACTATTTTTCTTCTCTTGAACATATTTCTTTATTAAAATACAACCCGTGTTCCAAGTTTCAAGCATACAGTGTTTCCCTTCATGATGCCTTTCCAGCCATTCCGTATACAAGTTGGTATGTCTTTCTATAGGCCTTCTTGCATTTCTGTGATTTTTCCATTCATAAGACATTTAGTTGGTTTTGTTTTTCTTTATTTTCTCTTTCTTTCTTTCCTTTCTTTTCTTTCTTTTCTTTCCCTTTCTCTCTTTCTCTCTTTCTTTCTTCTCGCTCTGTCACCCAGGCTGGAGTGCAGTGGCAAAATCATAGGATCACTCCTGGGCTTAAGTGATCCTCCCACCTTAGCCTCCAAGTTGCTGGGACTATAGACACATGCCAACATGCCTGCCTAATTATTTTTATTTTTTAAAGTAGGGATGGGCTCTCCCTATGTTTTCCAGGATGGTCTCAAACTTTTGGACTCAAGTGATCCTCTTACCTCAACCTCCCAAAGAGCTGGAATTAAAGGTGTGAGCCACTGCACCCAGCCTCATATGGCATTTATACATTGCTTCAAGTCTAACAGAATGAGACTTATGTCTATTATGACATATTCCTTTGCTCAGTAATGCATCTCTTAACAACAAGGATACATTCTGAGAAATGTATTGTTAGGCAGTTTTTTGTTGTGTGAATGCCATAGAGTGTACTTACACAAGCCTAGATGGCATAGCCTACCACACACCTAGGCTGTATGGTATAGCCTATTGCTCCTAGGCTATAACTGTACAGCACATTACTGCACTGAATACTATAGACAATTGTAACACATGGTAAATATTTGTGTATCTAAGTATATAAAAGGTACAATTAAAATAGGGTATTACAATATTCTAAGACCACCATTGTATATGTGGTTTGCGGTTGACACAAACATCATTATGTGGTGCATGACTATATACTCATAACTTGAAATCTTATTCTTCTGGATTTAAAATTATTTTAGGGAAGGACCTAAACTTTATGTATCGTTGTATCTGTCATACAGCCCAGTGCTGTTTCTTCTATAGATTAGTGCTCAGTTTTTCCATAGTATTCTTGCTTGTCACATTACAGGTAATTGTTTAATGCTTATTTGAAAGTAATATTGGTCTAATTGCATCAGTAATATGGACACACTGAATACACACACATATAATACAGATAAAATCTTCATGCAATATAGAGGGCATGCTTTGTGTTGACTCCCTCTTGTGTACCTGTCACACCTCTAGACTTGACCATCTTTGTGCCAGAGGAAAAGAGAGCAGTAGCGGCAGGGATGTGCCATATAGTTAATTCATTATCATCTTTAGGGCAGTCAAGGTTGCTCTCTGGGTTTTTTCCTGAAATTTGAGCTGATAGTAAGCATTATAGCCACCACTAGAAAGTTTTATATTAACATTTGCAAGAACAAACAATTGACAGCAGGCATAAGTCTTATTTTGCATTATACTTTTGGTGCATCATTGCTGGAAAAATTATGCTAATCCACACCATTTGCAGCTACCAGATGTGCCATTGAGATGTGCACAAGTTCCTTTCCAGAGGACTACTTGATGTCAAATGTCAATCATTGTGTGTTGAAATGACAGCACCTACCATCAAAGGACGAAGAACAATTACAATTCATGTTTTCTCGTTAGGCTCACATACCAAGCTGGATGATAATGCTGTGATAAGTTAAATATAAATGACAAAATAGAATTAACAAAATAATTGTTCAGTCTACCTTTTGGTCAGTTCCAAAATAACTATGGAATCTATTGAAGATTATCTTATTCAGTATATGTTTATAGTGGGTGTGGTGACATCCTGCCGTCTACCTTGCATTTCTTTGCTTGTATGTTTTATTAAGAGAATTGGCTGAAAGGATATCAGCAGATGGTGATAGAATAAGTTTTTTCATTGCATGGCTGAGTACACTTCTAGGAGGTCTCTCTCCAAAATATGATTGTTGAAAGTAACTTGTTCATTTGAATACACTAAGTTCTTCATCCAGATTATGTCATAAAAGGCATTGCCACCAGTTTAGTAGAACTATGGTTTTGTTTCCTTTGGCTGGGGGAGAGAGGATGAGAGAGTGGGAATTGGCTCCTTTCATCTGAGATTTTCTCATGTTCTACCTGGATCTGGATGTATCTACGTTTGGAAAGAATAGAAATCCTTTATGTTCCAGTTTCACATCTTTCCCATTTTGGCAGCCACTGCTAAGAATTAAAAATGCCTGGGCACAGAAGCAGTTTGAGCTGTTGAACATACCAGGTAAACTCTGAAATTTTGTTGATTTCTACAGTATTAATGAGTAACAGTGTTTGCCAGCAGCTAGTACTTACTGTAAGCTTTTCCTTGTGCAAGAATGTGTCTGAGTGGAGGGCAAGTCTCTTTCCTCCTTCCGTCATTTAATGCCTGTTCTAAAGTTCCTCCTGGACACGTATCACTGCTACGTGAAGGGGCTTTGTGTGGATACCGGAGAGTATTTTCTTATAGCTCAGGTATTCTATAAATATATTGCAACCATTGTTACAGAAAAAAGTGTTTATTTTTTTATTTTTTATTTTATTTGAGACCGAGTCTTGCTGTCACCCAGGCTGGAGCATGGTGGTACGATCTTAGCTCCCTGCAACCTCCACCTCCTAGGTTCAAGCAATTCTCCTGCCTCAGCTTCCTGAGTAGGTGCGTGCCACCACGCCTGGCTATTTTTTTTTTTTTTTTTTTTTTTTTTAGTAAAGATGGGGTTTCACCATGTTGGCCAGGCTAGTCTCAAACTCCTGACCTGAAGTGATCCGCCCACCTCAGCTTTCCGAAATGCTGGGGATTAAAGGTGTGCGCCACCATGCCCCCTGAAAAACATGTATTTTGATTTAAAGTCTTCTCCTTAGAGAATGGGAAATTCCCCTTAACCCTGGCAAATGCTGTTCTTATTCAGATTTTGCCAGGAGATGAAGCATTTTTTGTTTTAGTTTTTTTTTAAATAAGCTGTCTTTGATAAATATCTAAAATTGCCATTTGGTCTTATAAGTGGTATATGACATGTACTTTTAAGTACAGAGTAAATGGGAGTTTATAAAGGAACATGAATGAAGAGCCAGCTTAGTTAAAAACATAGGTATTTTCTGGATAAGTAGGACACCGTAAATGTCAAAAGAATTGCACTGTTTTGCTTTTTTGAATAGCAGTACCCATTGGTAACTCATCTCACAGAAATAAATAAAGCTATACATTTTATTTTCTCAGGACCAAGGAATAGAGCTTACAAAGGATACTATTTTTAGCAATGTTTGCTTGCCTCTGTATCTTTATCCAGGTCATTCCCTTTGCCTAGAGAATTGTCAGGTCCCCCACGCAATCCCTGAGCTCAACCCCTGGTGAATCTTTACTAATTCTTTTTTTTTTTTTTTTTTTAAAAGATGGAGTCTCGCTCTGTTGCCCAGGGGGGAGTGCAGTGGTGCGATCTCGGCTCACTGCAAGCTCCGCCTCCCGGGTTCACGCCACTCTCCTGCCTCAGCCTCCTGAGTAGCTGGGACTACAGGCGCCCACCACGATGCCCGGCTAATTTTTCTGTATTTTTAGTAGAGACGGGGTTTCACTGTGTTAGCCAGGATGGTCTTGATCTCCTGACCTCGTGATCCACCCGCTTCGGCCTCCCAAAGTGCTGGGATTACAGGCGTGAGCCACTGCGCCCAGCCTACTAATTCTTAAGATTTAATTTGCTTCTTTCTGGGATGCCTTTCTTGACTTCTCAGGGAAGAATTCGCTGCTTGCTCCACTCTGCATCCTCAGCCTCCTTCTCCACGCTCAGTGAACTACTTGTATGCCATAATAATATCCTAGCATCTGTCTTTGTCACCTGATCGAAGTCCATGATATGTTGACATTGGCTTTCTCATCTCCTTTCTTTTTAGATATATTTGTCTTTGGGGCAAATAGGCATCTGTTAGATGTTTGTTGAATGACTGAATAGTTTTATATCATTTTTATATGTAAAGTTCTTACACATGGAAAATCATCTTTGTTATTTTTATCTTCAAGGTTCATGAGGGTATAAAATTATGGATCATAAATTGCAGAAAAAATAATTTATATCCCTTTTAATATTGAGAAATGTAATAATGTATTAGTGAGTGATTATTGTTATTGCTAATATTAGACATGAAATATTAATACATTAGTATACATTTGTATGTTTGGTAAAGTGCAACTAACTTTTCTTTTCATGTTTTAGCCCAATTTTCAATTTGAGGTATTGTTATATATATTTTACATTAAAAATTTAACTGATTGAAAACCTTGCCAGTAAAAATTGTATACAAATTGCATTCATTGTTTTAAAAAAATGCTTTTAACCCCAATAACAGGAAATGACTCTTGATATTTTCATCTGTAGCCTTGCAGACCTTTGAAAATGTATTTATGTACAAACTTTTAAGTAAAAAGGAGATCACACTGCACATATTGTTCTTTAACTGAGCATCACTTTTGAGTTGACCAAATTACACAAAACATTTTAGGGTAGGAGTTGCCATTTGATGATCATCTCTGCAGATGATGCTCTCATTGAAATTAGAAGGTCAACCATATGGGGAGGTTAAAAATAAAATCTGCTGGCCTTCAAAATCCTCTTATCAGCCACCTAACAGGGTCAGATGCTGACAGTGATGCATCTGAGAGCAGCAAGTAAAGACAGATTGCAGAAGTTTTCATAATTGTGACTTGTGTTCTCGTTTTACTCATTTTTACTTGTCTTTGTTTCCAATCTTGGGGGTCTCTGGACTATGAGTTTAGGTGGCAAATCTCAGGTACATCTCCTAAAGACTAATGGTCATTTACAAATTCAAACATGAGATAAAGTATTTGGTGATATGTCCATCAAGTATAACTCAGAAATCAGTAAACAAGTCTTTTCCCAAAGTAAGTTCCTTCTAAATGTAGCTAAAAAGAGCCACTTTGTCATTAAAGTGAATGAATATGCATTTTTAGAACAGACTTGATGTTTGGATTGTGTTAAACATATGTCTGTTAGTGAAAGTGTTAGTCACAAAGATAAAATTTCATCTAAAAATAATATATAGAGAAAAATGCAATAAATATACACATGGTAAAATACTTCTCTTTTCTGTAAACTTTTAGTTCTTTATAAGGGTTGTGATATCATTTAAAAATTTTTCTGTATTGAAAGAAACTGGAGACACTGTTCATAGCAGCTGATATAGTTTGGATATTTGTCCCCACCCAAACCTTATATTGAAATGTAATCCTTAATGCGGAGGTGGGGCCTGGTGGGAGGTGTTTGGGCCACGGGGGTGGAGCCTCATGGTTTGATGCTGTTCTTGCAATAATGAATACTCATGGGATCTGGTTTTTTAAGTGGATGGCACCCTTCCCCACTCTCTCTTGCTCCTGCTTTCACCATGTGGCATGCCTGCTCCTGCCTCACCTTCCACCATGAGTAAAAGGTCCCTGAGGCCTCCCCAGAAGCCAGGCAGATGCCAGCACCATGCTTGTATAGCCTGCAGAACTTCTTTTCTTTATAAATTACCCAACCTCAGGTCTTTATAGCAATGCTAGAACAACGTAATACAGTAGCCAAAGGGTCGAAGCAACCCAAGTTCCATTGATGGACGAATGGCTAAACAAAACGTGGTATACACGTGCACACACACACACACAGTGGAATATTGTTCAACCTTAAAAAAGAAGTAATACATGATACATGATAGACTATTGATGAATCTTGAGGATGTTATGCTAAGTTTAAAGAAACCAGTCACAAAAAAACAAATACTCTCTGATTTAACTTGTATGAGGTGTCTAGTGTAGTCAAATATAGAGAAACAGAAAGTAGAATGGCAGTTGGCAGGGGCTGGGGAGAGGGAAAATGCGGAGTTGTTTAGTGGATATAGAACTTCGGTTTTGCAAGATAGAAATGTTTTGCACAGCACTGTGAATACACTTAACATTACTGAACTGTACACTTTAAAATGGTTAAGATGGTAAATTTTATGTCATATTATCTCACCACAACTAATAAAAGATAAATAAACTGGAGAAAAACACAATTTTTAGAGTAATTTGGACTGGAGCTTATTTATTTTTAGCCATAATTGTTTCTAAAGAATAATACCTAGGACTAGTCTTTGGGCCTTTAACATAATCATCGTATAATACATGATAACGAATTCACTGGAAATATATTAGACAACATTGGTTAAGTTTCAGTGGTGAGTCACTATTTGTCCTAAATTGCCCTATTTTATTTATTTTTGGTGGAAAACATGGACATGATAAATTATTATTTGTAGATTAATTGAAAGCTAACTAATATACTGAAATCACAATATTCAAATATGTATTTAGCAGAAATGCTTTGTTTTTATGGTTATCAATTTGTAATCAAGAAAGTTATTCATATATTTATTGACTGCTTACTGTTGTGTCAGGGATTGAGCTGAGTTCTGATATATATTGATGTATAAGTTAAATCTTGTCCTTAAGGAGTCTGAAATCAATTGCATTTGGAAATGGGAGAATAACACAGAAATAGAAAATTATGCTAAAAAACTATAAAACTATGGAAGGGATAAGTAAGACGTGCTCCATGAGAAGAGATAGAAAGTTTTGGGAGTTTAGGATTTCTGGTATGAGGAACACTTTATGGAAGAAGTAATAACTTCTTTGGGTGGGGAGGGAAAGGTAAAGGATGATATTATGACTTGGGTGAGTAATTGAGCAGTTCAATTAGATAAGGACAAAAAAAGGAGAAGTTTTGGGAAACACATCCATATTTATTGAAGTTTTGGGAGAGAGGAAGAATAAGCCAAGTGAAAGTCCATGGGATGGGATCAAGAGAGGTCCCCAAACTGGAACCTGATGAAAAAATTAAAGAATTACTACTGAATGGCCCACAACCAAACTTAACCAAACCAAACCACCAACAAAACAAACCAGAAGCAAAACAAAACAAAAAAAATAAAAAGCAAAATGGAGAAGGAGTGGGTCAGAGATGGAGGAGGAAAACTGTGAGTGTCATTTCAGGAAACTAAGGAAATGTGGTGTGTTAGTCCATTTTCACGCTGCTGATAGAGACATACCCGAGACTGGGAAGAAAAAGAGGTTTAATTGTATTTACAGTTCCACAAGGCTGGGAGGCCTCAGAATCATGGTGGGAGGTGAAAGGCTCTTCTTACATGGCGGCAGCAAGAAAAAATGAGGGAGGAGCAAAAGTGGAAGCCCCTGATAAACCCATCAGATCTTGTGAGACTTATTCACTATCATGAGAATAGCACGGAAAAGACCGGTCCCCAGGATTCAATTACCTCTCCCTGGGTCCCTTCCACAACACATGGGAATTCTGGGAGATACAATTCAAGTTGAGATTTTGGTGGGGAAACAGCCAAATCATATCATTCCACCCCTGGCCCCTCCAAATCTCATGTCCTCACATTTCAAAACCAATCATGCCTTCACAACAGTCTCCTAAAGTCTTAACTCATTCCAGTGTTAACCCAAAAGCCTACAGTCCAGAGTCTCATGTGAGACAAGGCAAGTTCCTTTCACCTATGAGCCTGTAAAATCAAAAGCAATCTAGTTACTTCCTAGATATAATGGGAGTACAGGTATTGGGTAAATACAGCCATTCCAAATGGAGAAATTGGCCATGCAAGGGCCCATGCAAGTCCGAAATCCAGCAGGGCAGTCAAATTTTAAAGCTCCAAAATGATCTCCTTTGACTCCAGGTCTCACATCCAGGTCACACTGATGGAAGAGGTGGGTTCCCATGGTCTTGTGTAGCTCCGCCCCTGTGGCTTTGCAGGGTACAGCCTCTCTCCTGGTTGCTTTCATGGGCTAGCATTGAGTGTCAGAGGCTTTTCTTGGTGCATGGTGCAAGCTGTTGGTGGATCTACCATTCTGGGGTCTGGAAGACTGTGGCTGTCTTCTCACAGCTCTACTCGGTGGTCCCCCAGTAGGGACTCTGTGTGGGGGCTTCAACCCCACATTTCCTTTCTGCACTGCCCTAGCAGAGGTTCTCCATGAGGGCCCTCCAAGTTTGCTCATGCAGCAAACTTTTGCCTGGGAATCCAGGCATTTCTATACATCTTCTGAAATCTAGGCGGAGGTTCCCAAAGCTCAGTTCTTGACTTCTGTGTACCAGCAGGCTCAACACCATGTAGAAGCTGCCAAGGCTTGAGGTTTCCACCCTCTGAAGCCACAGCCTGAGCTTTATATTGGCCACTGTCAGCCACTGGAGTGGCTGGGACACAAGGCACCAAGTTCCCAGGCTGCACTCAGCAAGGGGACCCTGGGCCTGGCCCTCGAAACTACTGTTTCCTCCTGGGCCCCTGGGCCAGTGATGGGAGGGGCTGCCATGAAGGTCTCTGACATGGCCTGGAGACATTTTCCCCATGGTCTTGGGGATTAACATTAGGCTCCTTGCTACTTATGCAAATTTCTGCAGCCATTTTGAATTTCTTCTCAGAAAATGGGTTTTTCTTTTCTACTGCATCATCAGGCTGAAAATTTTGTGAACCTTTATGCTCTGCTTCCCTTTTAAAATGGAATGTGTTTAACAGCACGTTTAAGTCACATTTTGAATGCTTTGCTGTTTAGAAACTTCTTCCACTAGATACCCTAAATCATCTCTCTCAAGTTCAAAGTTCCACAGATCTCTAGGGCAGGGGCGAAATGCTGCCAGTGTCTTTGCTGAAACATAACAAGAGTCACCTTTGCTCCAGTTCCCAACAAGTTCCTCATCTCCATCTGAGACCACCTCAGCCTGGACCTTATTGTTCCTATCACTATCAGTGTTTTTGTCAAAGTCTCTAGGAGGTTCCAAACTTGCCCACATTTTCCTGTCTTCTTCTGAGCCCTCCAAACTGTTCCAACCTATGTCTCTTACCCAGTTCCAAAGTTGCATCCACATATTTGGGTATCTTTTCAGCAACACCCCACTCCCAGTACAAATTTAGTGTATTATTCTGTTTTCATGCTGCTGATAAAGACATACAGGAGACTGGGAAGAAAAAGAGGTTTAATTGGACTTACAGTTCCACATGTCTAGGGAAGCCTCAGAATCATGGCGGGAGGCGAAAGGTACTTCTTACGTGGTGGCAGCAAGAGAAAACGAGGAAGAAGCAAACGTGGAAGCCCCTGATAAACCCACCAGATTTCGTGAGACGTATTCACTATCACAAGAATAGCACGGGAGAGACCGGCCCCCAGGATTAAATTACCCGCGCCCCACCGCGGTCCCTCCCACATGTGGGAATTCTGGGAAATACAATTCAAGTTGAGATTTGGGTGGGGACATAGTCAAACCATATCACAGGGTGTTTTAGGAATGAGGCAGAAGTCAGTGAGCATAATAGAGAAGGATTTGGTGCAAGGTGCTGGGTGATGTCCTTGGTGGAGAGCAGGTGAAGAGAGCTAGGAGGCCAGGCAGGCTGAAGGTGGGTGCTGAGCTAGAGCAGACGTGAAGATTGTGAGTGAAGACAACCATTTCAATAACTTTTACTATAAGGAGGAGAGTATAGTAGCAAGAATTATACTGTGGAGGAATCTGGGTTTTAGGTGGTTTTAAATTTTCATGTATTTTATTAAAATTTTCTATTGTAATGAGAGATACATAGTATAAATTTACCATTTTAATCATTTTAAGTGTACAATTTAGTAATATTAAATATATTCTCACCATCATGATTATCTAATTCCAGAACTTTTTCATCACCCCAATCAGAAATTGTGTACCTATTAAGCAATAATTCCCCATTCCTGTCCTCCCTTCAGCCCCTGGCAACCTCTAACCTTCTTTCTGTCTCCATGAATTTGGCTATCTTAAATATTTCATATAAGTGGAATCATACAATGTTCATTCTTTTGTGTCTAGTTTATTTCACCTAGTGTAATGTTTTCAAGGCTCATCCATGTTGTAGCATGTATCAGAACTTCATTCCTTTTTATGGTTGAATAATACTCCCTTCTCTGTATATACTGCAGTTGGTTTATATGTTCATCTGTGAACATTTTGGTTGTTTCTCCCTTTTGGCTGTGGGGAATAGTACTGCTGTGAACATTGTTGTACAAGTATTTGTTTGAATCCGTGTTTTCACTTCTTTTCAGTATATACCTAAGAGTGGAATTGCTGGGCCATGTGGTAATTCCGTGTGTAGGTTTTTTTTTTTTTTTTTTTTTGTCATTAGAACTCCAGATTTTTCTTTAAAAAAAAAACTTTTATTTTAGATTCAGGGTACATGTGCAGCTTGGTTATATAGGCAAACTTGTGTCACAGGGGTTTGTGGTACAGATTATTTCATCACCCAAGTACTAAGCCAAGTGCTCAATAGTTATTTTTTCTGATCCTCTCCCTCTGTCCACCCTCCACCCTTAAGTAGGCTCCAGTGTCTGTTGTTCATCTGTTTGTGTCCATGTGTTCTCATCATTTAGCTCCCACTTATAAGTGAGAACATGAAGTATTTGGTTTTTGTTCCTAGGTTAGTTTGCCAAGGATAATGGCCTCCAGCTACATCCATGTTCCCACAGAAGACAGGATCTCATTCTTCTTATGGCTGCAATAATATTCCATGGTGTATATGTACCTCATGTTCCTCATCCAATCGGCCATTTATGAACATTTAGGTTGATTCCCTGTCATTGCTATTGTGTATAGTGCTGCAGTGAACATTCACTTGCATGTGTCTTTATGATAGAATGATTTATATTCCTTTGGGTATATACCCAGTAATGGGATTGCTGGGTTGAATGGTAGTTCTGTTTTTAGCTCTTTAAGGAAGTGCCATCCAATAAATGGTGCTGGGATAACTGGTTAGCCATATGCAGAAGAGTGAAACTGGACCTCTTTCTTATACTATATACAAAAATCAACTCATCATGGATTAAAGACTTAAATGTAAAACAAAACTATAAAAACCCTGGAAGACAACCTTGGCAATGCCATTCTGGACATAGAAACTGGCAAAAATTTCATGACAAACATGCCAGCAGCAATCACAACAAAAGCAAACATTGATAGGTGGGATCTAATTAAACTTAAGAGCTTCTGCACAGCAAAATAAACTATTAACAGAGTAAACAGACAACCTACAGAATGAGAGAATATTTGCAAAGTATGCATCTGACAAAGGTGTAATATCCAGCATCTGTAAGGAACTTAAATGTATGAGAAAAACAAAGCAACCCCATTTAAAATTGGGCAACATAATGTTTAACTCTTTGAGAAACTGCCAAACTTTTTCCCATAGCAGCTGCAACATTTTACATCCCTACCAGCAGTGTACCAGGGTTGCAGTTTCTCCACATTCTTGTCAACACTTGTTATTCTCTGTTGTAGTGTACCTACTTCTTCTTCTTCTTTTTTTTTCTTTGAGACTGCGTCTTGCTCTCTGGCCCAGGCTGGAGTGCGGTGGCACGATTTTGGCTCACTGCAACCTCTGCCTCCTGGGCTCAAGCAATTCTCCTGCCTAAGCCTCGCGAGTAGTTGGGGTTACAGGCACACACCACCACACCTGTCTAATTTTTGTATTTTTAGTAGACACGGGGTTTCACCATGTTGGCCAGGCTGGTCTTGAACTCCTGGCCTCAAATGATCCTCCTGCCTCGGCCTCCCAACGTGCTAGGATTACAGGCCTGAGCCACCATGCTCGACTCTCCTTGTGGTTTTAATTTCCATTTCCCTAATGACTAATGATTGCAGACATCTTTTCATGTGTTGTCTATTTGTGTATTTTCTATGGAGAAATATTTATTCAAGTCCTTTGCCTGGTTTTTGATTGGGTGCTTTTTTTTGTTTTTTTTTGTTTGTTTGTTTTTGCTGTAGAGTTGGAGTTTTTATAAAATAGATACTAGAGTTTGGCCTTATATATGAAATTGGCTTTTTTTTTTGCAAGCCCATTTTAGGCATTGTCTCACTGTCATGATAATGGCCTTTGATCAACAGAAATTTAAATTTTGATGAAGTTCTGTTTGTCTATTTTTTCCTTTGGTTGCACATGCAATTTTTAAATTAAAAGTAAATTTCCAGTAAAATTTACTTGTTTTGGAGTGTAAAGCTATGTGGATTTTAACACTTGCATAGATTTGTGTATCTACCACCAAAATCAGGATACACCCAAATCAGGATACAGAAAATTTTCATCATCCTCCAAAATTCCTTTATACTCCTCCATTTGTAGGCAAACTCTTGATCCCTGGTTGGCAATGACCTGTTCTTTATCCCCATGGTTTTGCCTTTCCAAAAATGACATATAAATGGAACCACATATAGTGAGATAATTCTCCATGGGTCTCGCATTGCTGCATGTTTTACAAGCAGGGACACTGACTGTTTTTGTTCCAGACTATCATTTTGAGAATGTTTGAATAGTGAATAGCCTTGGAAGATATAGTATGTTTCTCCCTCTGAAGCAAATGGGAGGCATACTCACTGCCCATTATAAAAGATTTGAGTTTTCTGAGATAGGGTTCTTCTCCTGTAACAAGTCATGGTATGTATCTCTTGGTTCTCTTCACCTTGCCCTTTTGGAATTGGGGCTCAGGGCACCAGCACTCATACAAAAGTGCTGATAGTCTGACGAATTCTGTTGCTGTCAAAGAGAGGTGGGAGGGAATGGATTTGGCAGTTTGAGGAGCTTGGAGAAGACTTGAAATAGTTGTAGAAAATGAGAGTAAGTGTTACTGGGGAAATGTGGAATTATATATTAAGTAAAACAAGCTGGTTGTAGCAATAACTAGTTATTATTTTTACAGATAAGCAAAGAAAAAAAACCAGAACAAACCAACAAGCCTTTTTAATACATCTCCTTATGATACCATAAACTTACAATGTTGTTTAAATGGACATCAGCAGTGCATAAATAAAATAAACCTAAATTGTTGTTTGCCTTTAGTGAATAGATAAATTGCTTATCTTTAACATGTCATTTATTGGAAATAACAATTCTTATAATTCTTTTGTCAAGGCTGTCAAAATTGTCATTTAAAATGCATAGCACAAACAATATTATGCCAACAATAACAGAAATGAGAAAAGGAAAACAGCTATGCACAGTTTTGCCTCTAATAAATTACCTGTTTTCATGTGTTTATATGCATTCCTAGTCTTTGTCCACATGCAAATATTATGATATTGAATCACTTGTTAGTTGCATCATAGGCACAATTTAATTTACTTCTTTTTTATTAACATCATTTTATAAGCATTTTTTTACATATTATTCCTGGACCTTAACAGTAAGACTTTCTACCATCTGGGCTTTTGTGTACTTCCCCGTCACCCCACCATTTTATCTATCTCTGGGAAAGGCATTATTATCTCCATTTTATTTATGTAAAAACCAAGGCTTAGGAAATTTAAAAGATTTGCCTAAGATAGGTGTGTTGCATCTCTCAGGGTAAAATCTTTACAAGTATAAAGAATTAATATATTTACCTTATTCATCATTGGTTTTCATTTGTTTTTTATTGATACATATTTTACATATTTATGGAGTACAAGTGAATTTTTTATACATGCTTGTAATGTGTAATGATCAAGTCTTCTAGCTACTTTGAAATGTGCAATATATTGTTGCTAACTATAGTCACCCTGGTCTGCTTTGGAACATTAGAACTTCTTCTTAATGTAAATTTACACCCAACCACAAACCCTCTCTTTATCTCCCCATCCTACCCTCATACCCTTCCCAGCATCTGATCTATCTGTCATTCTATTTTCTATCTCCCTGTGATCAATTTTTTAAAAAACTCTTATGAGTGAGAACATACGTAATTTGTCTTTTTGTGCCTGGGTTATTTCACTTAACATAATGACCTCTAGTTTATGTCCATGTTGTTGCAAATGACAAGATTTCATTCTTTCTGTATGGCTGAATAGTATTCCGTTGTGTATGTAGACCACATTGTCTTTATCTTTTTGCCCATTGATGGACACTTAGGTTGATTCTGTATCTTTGCTGTTGTGAATAGTGCTGCAATAAACTTGCAAGTGCAGGCTTTTGATAAGGCAAGTTTCTTTGATATACTAATTTCTTTTCCTTTGGATAGATACCTAACAGTGGGATTGCTGGATCATATGATAGTTCTTTCAGTTTTAGAAGGAATCTTCATACTGTTTTCCGTAGTGGTCATACTAATTTACATTCCCACCAACAGTTTATAAGAGTTCCCTTTGCTTTGCATCCTCACCAGAATCTGTTATTTTTATCTTTTTAAAAGCCATTCTAACTGGGATAAGATGCTATCTCATTGTGGCTTTGATTTGCATTTCCCTGATGCTTAGTGATATTGAGCACTTTTTCATATATCTGTTGGCACTTGTATGTTTTCTGGCAAAGACTGTTATTTTTTCTCCCCATAAACATCAGCTAAAACTCAAAGCTGAGATTATGAAAAACTCTGATTATTCAGGATACATGTGTCTTTTACTGTGTATACAACCAAGCAAAAGAAATATACATTAATAGAGTAGCCAGTCATATTTGTGAAGAATGTTAGAACTCTAGCAAATAAATTTTCATAATATGTAAAATGACAACATAGATTTGATCTGTGAATGAAGAGTTTTTCATTTTATATAGTGTTTATAGTCTTTTAAACACACACACTAGTGGCATAAACAAATTTGGCCACATATTCCAGTGCAGCTGTGTGTATGTGTGTGTATAATTATATATGTGCTACTTTATTAAAATAATTTATATATTATATACAACTATGTATTTTATAAAAATAAGATTAATATTAATATGAACATAATCTCTAATATTTCATCTATTTTTACAGTGTTTTTTCTTGCCCATTTCTGGGATGGGTGCCCCCCAACTTGTGTAAACTACTGATGAAAAAAATAACTAAAATGCATCTTACATATTTAGACACTTTAAATATTTGTTTAATGTATACAAAGGACCTTTTGCACTGAAAGCTATTTATTGAGTTCACAAATGCATGTTGAATATCTGTTATGTACAAAGCATTTTGTATAGATAGTGATCTTTCTTTAGCTCTATGCAAGATTTGACTTTTTTTTTTTGTATCAGTAACCTCTTGTAAAATCTGATTTTGACCTAATATCTAGCTAAAGTTCCAAAAGTTTGTCCTTGAGAGAGTGCCTGAAATTATAAAAGTAGTATGGCTGGGCGCAGTGGCTCATGCCTGTAATTCCAGCACTTTGGGAGGCTGAGACAGGCAGATCACCTGAGGTCAGGAGTTCAAGACCAGCCTGGCCAATATGGTGAAACCCCATCTCTACTAAAAATACAAAAACTTAGCCAGGTGTGTTGGCGGGCACCTGTAGTCCCAGCTACTCAGGAGGCTGAGGCAGGAGAATCGCTTGAACCTGGGAGGTGGAGGTTGCAGTGAGCTGCGATCTTGCCATTATACTCCAGCCTGGGTGATAGAGCGAGACTCCATCTCAAAAAATAAAAAGTAAAATAATAAAAAAAAGTAGTATAGGCAGCATCAAAATTACTTGTAAAGCAGTGTTTGTTAAGGCTTTGTACTCCTCACTTATGCATTGTATAATATTTAATTTGCCTTTGGAAAAGTGAATATGGTGATAGTTTATCCTAGAAGTTGTTTGTGCTGATGTTTTGGCATTTTCAAGAAAAACACAAATATGTAAAATGTAATCAAGTGTCAAAGGGAAACTGACAAATGGCTCTTTGATCTCAAGTAAATAACAGCTTCTAAATACAGATGTATATGTCAATAGCCTGAATTTTCTTGAATATGTTTCTGTTTTGACTCCTTTTGTAGATTGATTTGTTCCACAGCAACCACCAGGTAGAAATATTCTAAAGGGCAAGAAAGAAAAGGGATATATTTGGTGTGGAGATTTTTTTTTTCTTTTTTTTTTTTTTTAGAGACAAAGTCTCACTCTGTTGCCCAGGCTGGAGTGCAGTGGCTTGATCTCGGCTCACTGCAGCCTCCGCCTCCCGGGTTCAAGCACTTCTCCTGTCTGTCTCAGCCTCCCGAGTAGCTGGGACTACAGGTGCAAGCCACCATGCCCGGCTAATTTTTGTATTTTTAGTAGAGATGGGGTTTCACTGTGTTGGCTAGGATGGTCCTGACTCGTGATCCACCCACCTTGGCCTCTCAAAGTGCTGGGATTACAGGCGTGAGCCACCCCACCTGGTGTGGAGATTTTAAGTGACTTTTGAGTCAGAGCAGTGAGCTTTTTTCCTTTTCATTCTAGTAATTATTTAAGAATGTTTAAAATGTATTTTTGTCATTATATTTTAAGTACACTAATAAATTTTTTCTGAATTGTATGCTTCTGTTTTTTAATTGCGTGAATAGCTTGAATTTCCTCTCCTGAAACAACCTCAAATTCAGTTTGTCAAAGTCAGAACACATAAACTTCTTCCTCAATGGGTTCTGTCAATCTAACAGTTTAGCAGAGGTGATTATATAGCTCAGTTCCAGGCATATAAATAGATTATGAGAATAAGATCCTGGAAACTGTTTTTCACTGAACCCAGCTGCTGCTGTATTAGGTCTGCAATAAACTGAAAATGACATTTTCCATATATGCAGGTGAATCAAGAACATAAACATTCTAAGAGTGTTTTACATCTTTCACACACCCCTTTCATCACTTTAACTGGATTAGTAGGTGGTAGCTTGGGCCAATAGTTTACCACCTCATGCAGAGCTGACTTGATTTCCAAACATTTTATTGTCTCTTTTGGAAAGTAGGTTAATACACGTGACCCAAGAGGACCCAGAGCAAGAAACAAGCACTCAATGGACAAGTCATATGAAGCAGGGTAAGAGCACTTACCATCATACTCATACCCATGGGCCTACAACTGCTCTTTCAAGTAGATGGTGATGATAAGGCAGCTATTAATTGAGAATTGACTTGAAGCAGCTTTGCTCAGATCTTTGCACATATTATCTCATTTATTAATCTCAGGATAATCCTACATTAGTTACACTTATAACCCCCTTTTTATAAATGAGCAAGCTGAAACACAGAGAGGGCAAGTCACTTGTTCGAGGTCACATATTAAATGGCAGATTCAAAATAAGAACTCAGACTTTCTGAATACAGAGCTGCATCTACTACACTCTCCTGCCTCTCATTTTGGCAATAAAGTTTTTGGCAGATGGTGATCACAGAAGTTGCTTAAAGTCACAACTTTTAAGTACTCTTTTTTCTAAAGTCAAATTGTATAGTTTTTATCCTAAAAAATTATATTATCACTTTTGTAGTTTAGAAGAGGAAGGTGTGAAAATTTGAAATGTTATCTATTCTCATTTAATTTCCTACTTTCCGTGGAGAGTATTCCATACCCAGATTAAATGTCATTTCCAATTGTTGCTCACACTTACCAAAGGGAAGGTCTCTGCTCAGTTTTGAGCAGAGGCTCCCTGTGTAGGAGTATGACAGTCCTCAGTAAAGTTTTGTCACCTATGTTTGGCAAAACATCCTGGGCAGATGAGCGATTCATGTGGCAAGAGCACTGCCAATTGAAAAGGTGCATTAGTATGAATATTAGCACCTCTAAGTGTTTGTGAAATAGCAAAGGTAGAAGGACTAGAATATTGACAAAGCATTTTCAAAAAATTATACTACTTCTAATAGCTTAACATGTTGATAGAAAAGACGATTCAGTGTAGAAGTCTGTGATGATTCAATTCTAAGTTGTATGTAATAGAGCTAAAGTCTGTAATTATATTTTAGAGGAGTATTAAACAATATAAACATGATCTCTGAGTCATAAATGTCATTATTACACTGAGTTTTAAATATAATTCATTTATAACCATATAATAGACACATAATATTACTGTGTGACAAGAAATACTCTTAGATGTAGCAAGAAAAAATGGAAATTACAAACATATGTGATTTCAAAATAATTCTTAACATTTCTTCAGGGGTTATTACAAAGCAAATGAAAGGAATTTTTACAAGGTGTAGTTCAGTTGCAGTTTCCCTCCTCTGTATTCACATTATTGCCACAGCTTACGAATGACAAACATTTGTGGACTATGGCAGCAATCTGTTGGGTGTTTCAATCTATTTTGAGCTGAAATTGATTAGCACTTTATGAAAAGTGTACAGAAAATTACCATGCTTATCAAGGCAAATCAAGCCATAATTCTGCCTTTTTTTTTCTACACCTGCAGCTATGAATATTTTTTGGTGGGTACATTGAGACGTGCTCAAGAATATACATATTGGACTGCATATCATGCAATTTATTCTGATCTTACTGACAGTTTGCAAACAAAAACTCAAAACAAGATGCAACTGTGTGCAGCTCCTGAACTGTAGGTTCTGATTTTGGCATCCATGAATGCACGAGGAAAGGGGGTGCAGCTGAAGAGGTGTGCTTTTGCTCATCTTACAGTGAAATATAATCTGGGCATTTGTTTGATGGATTTCATGAAATATGGAGGAAATCTGAACCAAGGGTTTCACCTGATTGCTTTTATTTGCCCCACCTCGGTAATAATAATAAGTGAAAATCAGCTGGAGTTGATGACTGTGGAGCCATAAGTTAACCATATTGAAGGAGAATCATTAAGAATGAGGAAAGGAGAAAGTGGGCAATGATGGTGATCTTCCTTTTTTGAGAAGAAGATACCCACCTCTCGCCAGTCACCCCCTGCCATGGCAATCTTTCAAAGAAAAGCAAATATTGTAGGCCAAAATAAAAAGAGGAAGAACATGGACTACATTGGGCTCCTTGTTTGAGTGGGTGTTTAATGTAGAAAAATGGTGTAGAAATAGGTTAGTTTTTATGCTGTCGCTCTGGGCAGACTTGAGAATAAATATAATGAGATTAAAAAAGACTGGGGGACCATAGCATAGTGCTTGGCACACAGTAAAGTCCCCAAGAAATATTTGCTGTTTGATTTTTAAATATATTTATACTTTTATCTAATTCTCTTGTGGTGTCAAATTCTTTATAACTAACAGCTTTACAAAAAGTACTATGTATTCTTTTCTGTATGACCTTATTTATGAGATTCCTGTTCATTTTTGGTTACTGAGATTTACTGAACAAGGTGATGTTCAGCATAGGCAAATATTTCTTTCTTTCTTCTTTTTTTTTTTTTCTTTTTGAGATGGAGTTTCGCTCTTGTCCAGACTGGGGTACAATGGTGCGATCTCTGCTTGCTGCAACCTCCCCATCCCAGGTTCAAGCAATTCTCCTGCCTCCTCTTGAGTAGTTGGGATTACAGGCACGTGGCACCATGCCCAACTAATTTTTGTATTTTTAGTACAGATAGGGTTTCACCATGTTGGCCAGGCTGGTCTCAAACTCCTAATCTCAGGTGATCCATCCTCCTCGGCCTCCCAAAGTGCTGGGATTACAGGCATGAGCCACCACACCCAGCCTCTTCTTCTTTTTTAAAGTAAGAGCTGGATCTAGTTTGTTTTCAGCCTTCATCTTTGTATGCTTGATGTTTGTTTGCACACACCAAATCCAAGTGTAGGATTCTAGAATTTAGGATTATGTTTTGCTTTGATTTTCATAATGGTACTAGTGGCTAATAACTTCAGAGAACATTCCTCAGTGACTTTTGAGTTCTTTTTTTGCTATTATTTCTGATAGCTATGAGCACATTTTACTAGAGATATAAATTATATGATTTCTCCCTAAGTGTATTTGCCTTGCACTTGTGTCCGTATCGATTGGCCTCAGTAAGTAGAATGCATGTTTCCATAGGAACTAGAATAATAACTTGATATTACTGTGCCTAGTGTTTCATTGTTCCATGAAAACATTTGCAAAGCAAAAGAATGTGAATTTATATGCTAATAATCTATCAATTTTTGCTTTTTAAAAATGTGTCTTTTTGAAAAGCTGCACTTTACTCCAAGTAAACCTATTTCTCTTCTTCATTATTTTTGAGGAAAAATTGTTAGTAGTAATTATTGGATTTTTCACCTCTCATTCCTCTATTATATAAGTTTATGAAAACTAAATGAAAAAAATGCAGTGAAGGTAAGATTCAGTGCCAAATCTCTCCAAGTGTATGTACCTCCATACGCTTCATACAGACTTCTTTACAGCATAAGGCTACTATTTATTTTTATTGTTCTTGAAATCAGTGTATAGGTTGGGTTTAATTTTATTGACACTCCTTTTTAAAACAATTCAGACTGATTTCAGAAGAGACATCTTTTGCATCAGAGAGGACTAAACTATGCAAAGTGGCATCTTTTGAAGAATGCTTATTACCAGAGTGGTAGCAAGGAATTTTGCTCAAGCAGTTCCTATAGTGATTGCAAACTGGCTCACTTCCCAGCTCTTAACAATTTCAGCGTGGGTTTTTCTTGATTGACCATCAGTCATCAGCATCTCTGAACATATACATTACACACACACATACACACTCACAACATACACATAAACACACTTGGCCAGACATAAGGTAAACAAACAAAAGACTGTTATTGAAGTCGAGGAACAGCTTACGCAGAGCAATTTAATCTTTTTGCATAAATAAGATCCCTATTCTGTTAAGCTGTTTTGGAATATGGAAAGCCTATAAATGCTGACTTTTAATTTTGAGAAATCAGAATCAACTGTAGAATGCTTTCTAGTGGTTCAAATATTCAGGGTCTATGACTAATCCCACCCTGTTTCCTTCATAGATTCTTTATAGTTTAAAACACAGACTAAGTATTCTAAAACTAATTTGTAACTGCCTCTTCCAAATTTCTGGGTTGTTGGCTCATTTATTCATTAACTCCATCATCTACTTTTGGGACATTTCCTATATGCCAGGCTCTGCACTAAGCAGAGTGTCAGAAACCTTCCTGCAGATACCCCCTGGCTCATTCTGCCTCTGTACCACTCCTTCATGGCACAGCCATGGGCATCTTTTAGCAACACAGATTTGATCACATGACCGTCCTGCTTAAAACTTTTCAAGGAAGTCCCATTACCATTTTCCTAAATTTCAGAGTCTTTGTCATAGCTCACAGAGTCTTGTGTGATGTGGCCCCTGCCACCCTCTCAAACCTCATTTCATTGTATTTCATCCTTTACCCATTGAATTCCAGCAACACTGGCCACCTTTCTGTGCACAGATGAGGCCAGGATCTTTCTCAGTTGAGCCTTTGCACGGTGAGCTTTTGCTGTTCCTCTTGCTAGGATATTCTATTCCCTGTTCTTTTCAAAGTTTCTTCCCTTTCTTCATGTCTTATCTTGTGACATTTAAATGTCACTCCTTGAAGATTCTTTCCCCAACCACTATGTAAATGGGCCTTCCCTGCAACTCTCTTTTGTTACATTGTTTTTCTTATAGTACATTAACAGTTCTAAACATACATTTATTTGCTTTGTTATTTTCTGTCTCCCCCACTACAGAATGATGTTGGGAAGGAATTTATAGACAGTGCCAAAATTATGAGATTGAAGCTTCTATCCAATTGAGGAGCAGGTATAGTGGGAATGAGCAGTTGAGAGAGCCAGAAAGATAAAAGATTGCAGCCAGATGACATTAGAAAATTATAAGTGTCCAGCAGTTCTTAGAACAATTTTGGGGGTGAGACTATGGGTGTAAGAGGCCAATGTCAAGTGGAGGGGAAGTGAGGATTGTTAGATTTGAGTGTCCACCATGTGTGAGGCTTCATTAGGCACTTGGTATATAAGTCTCAGTTCATGCCTTCAAGTGCTCCAGACTTGTCTATAAAACAAAATCCGGTGCTCACAAGCTGCCACAATACTTTTATCATTCTAACTTGATTCTCCAATGATGCCATTTAGTAACCTCCTACCTCTGCCACATTCTTCTTTGTAAATCCTGTTTAGATCTGCTCTATGCCTTTCCTTTTTCTCTGTCTAAATCCCATCCATCCTGTAAGCATCAACTCCTGGAAGTCATTTCTAATCACCTCTTTCTGCACTGCCCCCATCCCCTGTTGTGTCATCTGTCTCTCCCCTAAACATGCAGAGTTGTGTCTGCCTCCTTTTGTCTGTGCTTTCACTGTATTTTATTCTTTGTCTCACAGATCTTATTTTCCCAACTAGACTTAAACACCTTGAGTGTGTAATAGTTTCTCATATGTCTTTGTAATATGTCTCAATAAAATATCTTAGGAAAGACATGGGGAAAATATTTGATCATGGAAGATTAAGGAGAATTTTTCTCATGTATAGCTGCTAAATAAAAACCAACTACATAGTATAGAATGGTATATGATGCTAATACGTAGCCAATTAAGAAATTAACCATTTGACTGCTTTGTATATAAAATGATTGTAGTGCCTGTTATTTCAGTAAGAAGCTGATGGAGAGGGATATGTTAGATGTTTAAATGGCATAGTTAAGGTATTCAAGGTTAAACCTTTTTTTTTTTTGGTCTGAAATATCAGCAATATAGCTTCTAAATTTTTATGGCTGCTTTTCTGTATCACTTTATCTTATGTGAAATTTCAGAATGATTTATCTGTAATAAACATCATCATCTGACATGGCTGAAAACAGTACTTTTTGTTCATTTTGATTTTTGGATAATGCAAAATTATAGATTTTTTAAAAATTATATTCAAAGAATACTGAGTGCAAGACAATCTTTCTAGGTTAAAAAATATCTTATAAACCTGAATTGTCAATTATTATTGTATCCCAGATGTATGGAAGTTAATGGATAGTCAGTAACATACAGGACTAGCAGAAGGTTTGTTGTTATAGGTAATCTGGAGAGAAGCCAGGTAAGTGGAATTTGGGATTTGCTGCTGTTGCCAGAAAGCAGCACAGAGACATGGTAAGTGGCAAGACCCAGGTAACTAAAACAACCATGTCTTAGTCCTTTTATGCTGCTGTAACAGAATATCACAGACTGAGTAATTTATAATGAACAGAACTTTATTTGTCTTCTGGTTCTGGAGACTGGGAAATCTAAGAGCGTGGCATTGACATATGGTGAGGGCATTTGTGCCTCATCATCCCATGACAGAAGATGGAAATGCAAGAGAGCTCAAAAGCAAGAGAGCAAATGGGGCCAAACTTGCTTTTTATAACAAGCCACTCTTGTGATAATGAACCAACTCAAACAATAAAGACATAAATCCATTCATGAGGGCAGAGCCCTCAAGGATGAATCACTTCACTTCTTAATGGCCTCAGCTTCTAATACCATCACAATAGTAATTCAGTTTCAACATGGGTTTTATAGGGACGTTGGAACCACAGCAAACTGTAACCATTTTGATTTCCTTATTTGCACCATTTTAAAAAAACCTATTTATTTAACGGCTGTTTATTCAGTGCCTATTCTGTTGTGTTGGAGACTAGAGGTAATTACAAAGGGAATAAGACAAACAGTCACCCACTCTGGTGATGCTTCCCTTATCTTCATAATGCATTTGATCCTGTGATTCTTTGGCACATGAGTCCATTGCATCTTGCATATTAGTGTCCAGTAAGTTTTTCCTGACCAATTGATAATATAGATATACATTGGTAGCAGTTTTGTGTATATTTTTATAGTTAGATGTTGTTGGCACATGTGACTTGTGTCTCAGAAAAATACAGAAAATGGTTAAAGACAGGAGGATACTACCCTGATTTCTCTGTTCATTAAAGAACAGCTATTTGGGGGGAAAACCTGATACAATTATTTGAGCATGTGGCTTAAAGATTAGACCTATAAACAATTCAGGAGCATCTTCCAGCAAACTGTGTGAGAATTCACAGAAATAAACCTGGTAGGTTTGTGCTATGTTATTCACATGGGCTGTTAACTCTTTTCCATTCCTAGGTCCTTTATTTCCCTGCCCTCCTCAATCTCATGCTCTTGAGATTTTTAACTATATTACTTCTTTACAAAGTCATCTTCAAAATGATTCATTTTGGATAGCAAACTATCCCTCAACTTACCTACACACTCTCACTCATACTCACATTCTCTCTTATGTCTTTCTGTGTGGAAGGGAACATTTAGAATGTCTATTCTTTGTGATGCAAAAATGACAACACACTGATGATGAAGGGGGGTATTTTTAGGAGAAAAAGTAGCTTTTCTTTTCATCATACTGCCACTTTTGAGATTCTATAGAAAGAATAGGTATTGAACACAGACCACTTGGCTCTCTGAGGTATGCTTTGGACACACTTAGAAGTCAGCTAGAATATGCCTTCTGTTTAAGGTTGGAGTCTGCATTTAAAAAGAGAGAACTGGATTAATTGGCAGGTAAGTTGAGATTCCATGATTCAGGAAACCTTTAAGACTTTTAAGTGCAGGCTCTTTGTAGGTTGGAATGAAACTTAATATATATATATGTTCTTTGATTCTTTCTGTACAGTTATATAGTTGTCTTCTGACTGTGTTATATTGGTTGGAATATTAATATGTTGCCTGTGGAATTCACATATGGTCATTGTCCAGTAGTGACAAAATGTTTTAATTAATGTGGCTAAGTTCTCTTATTTAATTTATAAAATAAATATTTTCTTTATTATCTTACTTCAGAGAAAAATTTTATGCTTTAACTGATACCTTACATCTGAATTTTGAAAAAACAAGCATTTTTACCGCACACAATATCATACTGTTTAACTTCAGGTTTACCATAAAAATTATTTTAGCTGTTCTTCACCACCACATTGTTTCCCAGAAGTAGCTAAAACTGCCGTTATTCATTTGTGTTTTTGAGATTATATTATTTTACCTTAGATTCTTTGAAAAACTCTGTATGCTCTACTGATTTTTGTTGGGGAAAAAGTGTGTATTTCATGACACAGTTCTCCAGATATAATGGACATTATCCAAACCTGAAAAAGAGTAAGATTGTAGAATGCTCCAAGGAAGCTTGAAAACCAAGGGGGAGAGAAGGTTGTCACATTTTCCTCATGTACTTTGGTTAATTTTTCATTATATCTTTATTTATTTTTCTCTGTTTTTCTTCAGTTATAATATGTCACTTTGTGATCAGAGGAGATATAAATCTCCTCAGGGCTTGTCTAACATTCAACATTTAGTCCTAAAAGCCAAATCGAGTCCAGAAGTCTAAAATCCATGCTTGTTTGTTTTAAACAAAGTAGAGTGAGAGATTTCGAGAGAAAGGAAAAACTAGAGTTGACGATAGAACAGACAATAGAACTGAAGAATAAGATGGCTCATTTCGATCTCCAGGGGAGTGGGATTTTCCTCATATTGGTGAAATATTTAGTTAAAACCACTTCATTTTTAATTCCACTGTCTTCAAAACACTTTTATATCTGATATCTTGTTTTTGCCTTAATCTATGAGTAATAATATGTACCTACCTTATTAATTAAAAGACAAAGAGAATGATATTGAAAGGATACTAAAGGGACCTACCTAAATGTCTGTAATGTGAAATAAATAAGCTGTTTAATTTTTGACTCCTAAACTGACTCTTTTCTGCCAGTTTTACTTAATATATGTGTATTTCCCACTTGTGAGGTGATTGAAAGGAAACCTTGAACTATGCTACAGCCATTCAGTAAGAAATTCTCTATAAAGAGTGGCAAAATAATTCAGATTATTAGAATGTTGCTGTCTTTATCAAAGTCAAAGCTAATTTTGTTTTATGAAGCCGCCAAAAGAAAATGCTTGGGGAAACTCTCCAGGACATCGGTCTGGGCAAAGATTTATTGAGTAATACCCCATAAGCACAGGCAGCCACAGCAAAAATGGACAAATGGGATCACATCAAGTTAAAAAGCTTCTGCACAGCAAAGGAAAAAATAAAGTGAAGAGACAACCCACAGAATAGGAGAAAATATTTGCAAATGACCCATCTGACAAAGGATTAATAACCAGAATATATAAGGAGCTTACACAACTCTATAGGAAAAAAAATCTAATTATCTGATTAAAACATGGGGAAAGATTGGAATAGGTATTTCTTGAAGACATGCAAATGGCAAACAGACATAAGAAAAGGTGCTAAACATCATTGATCATCAGAGAAATGCAAACTACAGTGAGATATCATCTCACCTAGTTAAAATGGCTTCTATCCAAAAGGCAAATAAATGCTGGTGATTATTTGGAGAATTGGCAACCCTCATACACTATTGGTGGGAATGTAAATTATTACAATCACTATGGAGAACAGTTTGGATGTTCCTCAAAAAACTAAAAATAGAGCTACCATACAATACAGCAGTCCCACTGCTGAGGGTACAGAAATACCACCCCCCTCCCCGAAAAGGAAATCAGTGTATTGAAGAGATATCTGTTCTCCCATGTTTTTTGCAGCCCTGTTCACAATAGCCAAGATTTGGAGGAAACCTAAGTGTCCGTCAACAGATGAATGGATAAAGAAAATGTGGTATTTGCTAGTCAGCCACAAAAAAGAAAGAGATTTAGTCATTTGGAACAACATGGGTGGAACTGGTGGTCATTATGTTAAGTGAAATAAAACAGGCACAGAAAGATAAACCTCACATGTCCTCAGTTATTTGTGGAATCTAAAAATCAAAGCAATTGAACCCATGGGGATACAGAGTAGAAGGAGGGTTACTAGAGGCTGGGAAGGGTAGTGAGGGGACAGAAGGGAGGCTGGGACAGTTAATGGGTACAAAAGAATAGTTAGAATGAATGAATAAAACCTAGTATTTGGGCCAGGCACAGTGGCTCACGACTATAATCCCAGCACTTTGGGAGGCCAAGGTGGGTGGATAACAAGGTTAGGAGTTTGAGACCAGCCTGGCCAATATGGTGAAATCCCATCTCTACTAAAATACAAAAAAATTAGCTGGGTGTGGTGGCACACACCTGTAGTCCCAGCTACTTTGGAGGCGGAGACAGGAGAATCGCTTGAACCCGGGAGGCAGAGGTTGCAGTGAGCCAAAATCACATCACAGCACTCCAGCCTGGGTGACAGAGCAAGACTCCATCTCAGAAAAAACAAAAACGAAAACAAAACCAAACCAAACCCTAGTATTTGATAGCATGACAGGGTGACTATAGTCAATAATAATTATACATTTTAAATAAAATAATATAATTGGATTGTTTGTAACACAAAGAGTAAATGCTTGAGGGGATGGATACCCCATTTTCCATGATGTGATTATTATGCATTGCATGCCTGTCTCAGAATATCTCATGTACCACATAAGTATATACATCTACTACATATGCACAAAAATAAAATATAAAAAAATTATAAATACAATTTAAAAACACTTGAAGAGGTAAGGTCAGGTTATGTATGGTATAAAATCTTTTAGTGAAGGTGTGTCAGGATATAGTTTGTACAAGTCAGGGCATCTGGTATTTGAGATTACCAAGCTAAAACCATCTCAGTTTGTGAGAAGTGGCACCAATCAAACAGAAAGCCCTCTTTTCTCCATTCCATTTTTTTTTCTTCAAAGCTGTCATTTGCTATAAGTTATATTCAGTTTAAGAGGTGCTAGTCATAGTTTGTTGGGCTAAATTTTGCCATTTGTACTTTATTCTGGCAGACAAATGAGTTTAATTTGGCTTGTTTAGTATATTTTGAAATAATTTTTAATACAAATATTAAAAAGTAAGTAATGGAAGGGGAGGTCCATTTCATCTAGGTTCGAAAATTGGACTGGTATATTCTTTTAGTAAGTGTGGAATTTTTAAACTAATTACGGAATTAACCCATAATTGGGGAAGATAAAGATCTGGGAAAAGCTGGAAAGTTGGTTTAGTGGAATGTCAGTTGCTCCTGGAGTCAAATAACCTAAATTTGAGTCAACTTATTATCCAGTGCCCTTAGGAATGTCATTTAAATTATTTAAGTATCTGTTTCCTTATCTATGAAGGGAGAGGAAGAACACCTACTTAAAAGGACAGGAGGTAATATTTTAAAGGCAGTTCCTAAATTGTACATGTTTAAATACACATAGGTATGTTTATTAAGTGAAAAGGCATTTGCAATACATGGAATCTTAAAATTATATCAGTAATTTAAATTTAATTTCTAAAGTTATAGCTGTAAAACAAGTATCTTCCTGTATCAGCTCTGGGCAACAACTTCCCCAGGTGATATTTGAGCTGAATGAGCTCAAGTTTGAATTAACGTGATATCTCAATGTAGTGTTTCTTGGGTTGATTGCAGCAACTCTGAGTAGCTGGTTCTCAGGCAAGACCTCTTTCTTATCTTGCAGCTTTTACCATTAGGAGATATATCACCTATCTTGCCTTACATTAAGAAGAGTATCTTCATGTCCCTTTCTGAGCTACACACGATGTGATTTAGTTTGGATTTCATTCTTTCAGAAAAGTGTAGCCATTTGCTTGCTGCAATAGAACTTTTTTCCCTCCGCAGCCTTCGCTGCAACACAGTGGGTCATGTCTAAAAAAACAAGGTGCCTGTTTTATAATCGCTTTGATTTTTTCAGGAATAGCACCCACAGCAGAAAGAAGTGAACTTGTTTTGCAGATTGTAGATGTGGCACATTTATTCACATGTATTCTGAGTAGTAAAGTGTTAATTTTTCAAAACTACTACTTAAGCCTTGCAACCTTTTGCCCTTAAGTCTCTAGGAATGAAGAGTTAATTTGACTAGTACTGAATTATATAAGAAAGTGTTCTAAAAACTCACAAGTACACTTTAATGTATTTGGTTCCATTCAAAATCTGTTTACTCATTCAGATATATGTGAATAATTTTAATTATGCATTGTTTTTAAAGAAATATCTTAGACTGAGTATGTTATAATTAATTATTTAAAAAACTATATTATTTCCTGAGTATTGTCTCCAACTGAAGAATTCCACGTCTTTTTGCATGCTTTGAATGTTTACTACCAAGCCATATAACTTCATAGTAATTAGTTAATAAATTTCCTTTTCTGTGTTCGAATTCTTATAATGAGATTAGAGTTATAAAGTGAAGTTTATTTTATTTTACTTATTTATCTACATGAGGAAGCTTGTTGACTGAATATAAAGACATTATTACTGTCAGATTTTTTTTTTTTTTTTGAGACAGAGTCTTGCTCTGTTGCCCAGGCTGAGGTGCAGTGGCAGGATCTCAGCTCACTGCAAGCTCCGCCTCCTGGGTTCATGCCATTCTCCTGCCTCAGCCTCCTGAGTATCTGGGACCACAGGCGCCCGCCACTATGCCCGGCTAATTTTTTGTATTTTTAGTAGAGATGGGTTTTCACCGTGTTAGCCAGGATGGTCTCAATCTCCTGACCTCGTGATCCACCCGCCTCAGCCTCCCAAAGTGCTGGGATTACAGGTGTGAGCCACCACGCCTGGCTAATTTCTTTTTGTATTTTTAGTAGAGACGGGCTTTCACCATGTTAGCCAGGGTGGTCTCAATCTCCTGACCTCGTGATCCACCCGCCTCGGCCTCCCAAAGTGCTGGGATTACAGGCATAAGCCACGGCGCCCAGCTTACTGTCAGATTTTTAAATGTGATTTACAAGCAGCTTGGCTTTGACTTTTGATGGCCTAACTGATTTTGAGAATTATCAGACATTTAATGTATGAATCTTTGCAAGTGGGGAAATGCTATATTATTTTATAACAGTTAGTATGACCTGCTTTTTGCCATTGGTTTAGTAGTAAAGACCTTTTTGTAATTAAAAAGATAGTAATCAATTAGGGGGAAAAGGTATTGTGTCATTATTCAAATAGAGGAGACTTGTAATATTGGAAGCAGATGGTGCCAGGGGAAGTGACTTACAGACACTTATAGGTGCAATAGGTTATAGTGCCCCCTCCCAGCATTTTTTCTAAATAGCAGAGTTTTTTGTTTTTGTTTTTCCTATGGAAAAAGAAATGAGAATATCTTTCAGTTCTGTGTGATTTGGCTTCAGAGATCTTCTCAAAGATAAAAGATAATGAGTTTAAGGTACTTAAAAAAGAGCAGGGAAAGCCATTATATTTATGTGGAATTTTCTATTTTTGGTGCAGGTGGAACCTCTTTGAAGGTTTGCCATTAAGAAAAAAAAAATCCCAGGGGAAAAGTAGGGACAGTAACCAGTATCATGACAAGTAATCTCTAGTGTTTCGAAGTGATCCATAGGGCATTATTTAAAGGGAAATGATCACAAGCTCAGAACGTAGTCATGTTCTTCTGGTGTGAAACTAGAAATGGGGAACTGGGCGAGGGAGGGAACTGGAGCATTACTCTTAAAGTCTTAGGGTTAAACCTCAAAGGTCTTATAGAGACATTTCCTGTTCAGTTCAGCTATTCACTTATTCAACAAATATTTACTGAGCATGTACAATTTGCCATACACTATTATAGGTGAGGACAACAGTAGTGTAAAAACCAGTTTGTACCCTCATAGAGTTTATGTTCTAGTAGGGAAGATGGTCAATGAATTATGAGGTCAGATGGTGATAGGTGCTTAGAAGAAAACCAAACTGAGATCAGGGGTGAGTCTAATCAGGAAGCCCTCCCCTTAATTTATTCATTTGTTGATGTATCTGTTCATTTATTTGTTTAATGAAATAATTGTTGATCTTAAGCAAGACAGTTTACTTTCTGCTTTCAGTGACTTATGTAAGTGAGTTGTATGAACTCAGAACTAGTTTTCTCATACAAAAAAAGTTAAACAACTAAAGTTAAATTTCTTAGCTGGCTCACAGAATCTCCTTGAACCCATGTTAAAAATTTCACTGTGGTACTATGATAGGAGACTCCACTCTGGTTCTTAGGAGGACAGAACCAAGGAAAATGAGAGAAAATGTGGAGAGGAGTCTTTTGCTGTAGAATTGGCAGTCATCTTTTAGGGAGATTTTTAAATAAGCTAGTTTTGGTTTCACATTCTTCTATCAGATTTTCACCACCTTAGACTTCCCCTGTTTCCCCTCGCTGCCTTTTTCAGTCCTCCTTTCTCCTCCCCGCAGCCTGCTTTACTCATAAAAAGTGCTTTGTGGCATTCTAGCATTTTCTTAGAGGGGAGCAGTTTGACTGAACAACTTCTTCTAAGTGTATGAATGAGACATAATATAAGCATAACCCTAACCTGAACGAAGGTATTTGCATTTTCTGAAGAGGACACTTGAATCACTAATTGCTGGCATTTTGAGCTACCTGAAAAAGCTATGTGAAAATCCTCAGAGAATGTAGAGGACCTACTGTGGGCAGGAGGCCATTGGGTCTGTCAGGAAGGCCAACAATTCCTTTCAGTCTCCTGCCCAGGTAAGGTGTGCAGCCTTGCTTTTTAACTTTTTCTCTTCCTTCCATGAAAAAACTGGTGTTTCTTTTTTGTTGTTGTTGTTTTCTCTGATGGCTCTCATGCATTTTTATTTTCTGCCTTTTATAAGCTGGGTGGTTGCAAATGAGGGTAGTGTGGATAGGGTTCATGCTCCTGAGGCCCATATTCTGGCCTGTCAGCATGTTGAGCCAAAACAATGACAATAACAATGACAATATTAATGACTATGTTTTCTGACTGCCTAAGTATGCTAGTATTTCACATATATTCATGATACCATTTGGTCTTTACTACAGTCCTGAAGGGTTCATAAGAAGACCATTTGTAGATAAAGAAGGCAAGGGAGGTGAGAGGTTAAGATATTTGCCCCAGATTACAGGGCTAGTAAATGCAGTTGGGTTTGATCACACTTGGGTTTGTTTGATCCTGAAGTCTCTTTTCTTTTCCCTACTACTGTCCCAGAAATAAGTGACTGGTGATTCCAGAGGAACTGTTCCCTTGTTAGGCTCGAGCTGTTTTAACTCAGGATCACCAAGTGACTCTTGATGTTCTGCATACCGAGGCAAATGGATTAGGCTACAGAAGAAAGACTTGGAGCAGGAGTTCCAGTGGAGTGATTTTACTCATGTTAGCTTACCAGCCTCAGAGATGTGCCCGGGAGTCTGTTCCTATTTTAGGTACCCAAACTTCAGCAGGCCTTCAGGACCCATGGTACTTGGACTCTTTCCTGGACTTCATGGTATCTGGGCTCCTTCTCTCTTGAGTATTTAGATAAACACATGAACAGTCAGTTAGTGCATTGAACTCACGATACATTGATTGGTTCCTCTTGTGGTATTAACAGAGCTTATTGCTGCAGATTTTACTGACAGATAAAACTGGCACTAAAATTATCTATTTGTATTTCCTTCTCCATGAGACACTTTCATTGATTGTTTACTTTTATCCCCTATAAAAATACCTAGTGAGAAATCTGTGTTTTTAGTGTCTTTTTTGTTCTGCTTGGGGACCATGGCAAACCTTTGGTTGTGGTTGTACAATCAGTTATTCAAGTATTTCAACAATTGGCTGCATTAATTTTTTTCTTTTTTCAAAGGGATTGGGGAATTGGCAGTGGTGCTCAGGTTGCTGTATTTGGAATATAGAATGATCTGCTTGTCTCAAGTGAAAAACTCCTTGTAGACTTGGAAAAAGAGTTTGCCTTTGACTGCATAGGCTGGTACCTATTTTTTGATTTTCTAGCATTTTTCCAATTGGCCCATTCAACTTCCTTTATACCCTTTGTGATGTGAGGTATCGGATGCAATATTCTTTGTATGGTGCCATCCTTCATCCAGATGCATATGTTCTAGTGAAGCCAAACTGAAGGAAGAGAATGACTCTATTATGATGGATTAGTGTGCATATATTAGTCTATTTTCATCCTGCTAATAAAGATGTACGCAGGACTGGGCAATTTACAAAAGAAAGAGGTTTAATGAACTTAACAGTTCCACATGGTTGTAGAGGCCTCACAATCATGGTGGAAAGCAAGAAGGAACAAGTCACGTCTTACATGGATGGCAGCAGGCAAAGAGAGAGAGCTTGTGCAGGGAAACTCCCATTTTTAAAACCATCAGACCTCATGAGACCCACTCACCATCAGGAGAATAGCATGGGAAAGACTAGCCCTCATGATTCAACAGTCTCCCACTGGGTCCCTTCCACAGCATATGGGAATTATGGGAGCTACAAGATGAGAGTTGGGTGGGAACTCTGAGCCCAACCATATCATTCCATCCCTGGCTCCTCCCAAATCTCCTGTCTTCACATTTCAAAACCAATCATGCCTTCCCAACAGTCCCCCAAAGTCTTTACTCATTTTAGCATTAACTCCAAAGTTCACAGTCCAAAGTCTCATCTGAGACAAGGCAAGTTCCTTTCACCTATGATCCTGTAAAAGGCACTGGGTAAATACAGCTCTTCCACATGGGAGAAATTGGTCAAAACAAAGGGGCTAAAGACCCCATGCAAGTCTGAAATCTAGCTGGGCAGTCAAATCTTAAAGCTTCAAAATGATCTCCTTTGGCCCCAGGTCTCATATCCAGGTCATGCTGATATAAGATATGGGTTCCCATGGTCTTGGGCAGCTCCGTCCCTATGGCTTTGCAGGGTACAGCTTCCCTCCTGGCTGTTTTCATGGGCCGACATTGAGTGTGTGTGGCTTTTCCAGGTGCACAGTGCAAGCTGTCAATGGATTTACCATTCTGGGGTCTGGAGGATGGTGGCCTTCTTCTCACAGCTCCACTTGGTGGTGCCCCAGTAGGGACTCTGTTGAGGGCTCCAACCCCACATTTCCCTTCCACACTACACTAGCAGAGTTTCTCAATGAGGGCCCTGCCCCTGCAGCAAACTTCTGCCTGGGCATCCAGGCGTCTTTATACATCCTCTGAAATCTAGGCGGAGGTTCCCAAACCCCAGTTCTTTACTTCTGTGCACTCACAGGCTCAACTCCATGTGGAAGCTGCCAAGACTTGGGGCTTCAACCCTCTGAAGCCACGGCCCAAGCTCCCTGTTGGCCCCTTTGAGCCATGGCTGGAGTGGCTGGGATGCAGGGCACTAAGTCCCTAGGCTGCACAAAGCATGGAGACCCTGGACTCAGCCCACGAAACCACTTTTTTTCTCCTAGGCCTCTGGGCCTGTGATGGGAGAGGCTGCAGTGAAGACCTCTGACATGGTCTGGAGACATTTTTCCCATTGTCTTGGGGATTAACATTTGGCTACTTATTACTTATGCAAATTTATTCAACCAGTTTGAATTTCTCCTCAGAAAATGGTACTTTGTTTCCTATCACATTGTCAGGCGGCAGATTTTCTGAATTTTTATGCTCTGCTTCCCTTTTAAAACTGAGTGCCTTTAACAGCACTCAAGTCTCCTCTTGAATGCTTTGCTGCTTAGAAATTTATTCTGCTAGATACCCTATATCATTTCCCTCAAGTTCAAAGTTCCACACATCTCTAGGGCAGGGGCAGAATGCCACCAGCATCTTTACTAAAACATAAGAGTCACTTTTGCTCCAGTTCCCTACAAGTACCTCATCTCCATCTGAGACCATCTCAGCCTGGATTTCATTGTCCATATCACTATCAGGCTTTTGGTCAAAGCCATTCAACAAGTCTCTAGGAAGTTCCAAACTTTCCCACATTTTCCTGTCTCTGAGCCCTCCAAACTGTTTCAAGCCCTGTCTGTTACCCAGTTGCAATGTCGCTTCCACATTTTTGGGTATCTTTTCAGCAGCACCCCACTCCAATTTACTTTATTAGTCTGTTCAGCAGCACACCACTCCAATTTACTGTATTAGTACCAATTTACTGTATTAGTCTTTTCTCATGCTACTGATAAAAACATATCCGAGACTGGGCAATTTACAAAAGAAAGAGGTTTAATGGACTTACAGTTCTACATGGCTGGGGAGGTATCACAATCATTGTGGAAAGCAAGGAGGAGCAAGTTACATCTTACATGGGTGGCAGCAGGCAGAGAGAGAGAGCTTGTGCAGGGAAACTCCTGTTTTTAAAACCATCAGATCTCATGAGACCCATCCACCATTATGAGAACAGCATGGGAAAGACCTGCGCCCATGATTCAACCATCTCCCACCAGGTCCCTCCCACAACACATGGGAATTATGGGAGCTACAAGATGAGATTTGGGTGGGGACACAGAGCCAAACTGTATCAATGCAGTTCATGATGTATCCTCTATTATCAAAGATGAATCCTTCCACAAGTGTAACTTAGCGTCAGAAACTTCACCACTGGTAAATGACATGGAATATAGTGCAAAGACCTTCGGTGTAGGAATGCAGATGGTTCATGCATGATTTCATCTCTGCCACTGTCTAGAAATATAAGCTTTGATAAGTTTGTTTATTTTGTGGGCCTTGGTTTCCTAGTTTATAAATTAAAGCTAAAGTAATCATCTCTGCCACTGTCTAGAAATGTAAGCTTTGATAAGTTTGTTTATTTTGTGGGCTTTAGTTTCCTGGTTTACAAATGAAAGCTACAATTAAGATAGCCTTTAAAGCTGTCATTACATTCTGTAATCCAAGGCTGAAATAAAATAGGGTGCACAGAAGTGCATTATTGCAGTAAAGTTATAGGACTTTCTATGTCTCCCTTTATGTTTGTCAGTTTTTGCTTCATATAATTTGATGATCTATTATTAGGTGTATGAACATTTATGATTGTTATGTTTTCATGCTGAATTGAACCTTTTATTTATAAATAATATTCATTGTCTCTTGTAATCTTTTCTGATTTAAAGTCTATTTTGTCTGATATTAATATAGCTACTTCTGCTCTTTTTTGGTTATGATTTATATGAACTATCTTTTTTCATCCTTTCACATTCAGTTTACTTGTGTTTTTCAATCTAAAGTGAGTCTCATGTAGACGGAATATAGTTGGATCATATGTTTTGATCCATTCTACTGATCTTGGTATTTTTGATTGGAGAGTTTGATCTACTTACATTCAGAGTAATTACTGATAAGGAGGGATTTACTTTGTCATTTTGCTGTTTGTTTTTTATATGCTTTCTAGCCTTCTCTCATTTTCTGCATTAGTCTCCCTTTGTGTTTCATTGATCCTTTTTTGAAGTGAAACATTTAAATTTCTTTTTTGTTTCTTTCATTTCATTTTCTTTTCAAAATCTAATTTGATTTTATGTCAGATTAACTTCAGTAACATACAAAAACTATACCCCTTTTACAGCTTTGTTCCCAATCCTTTCAGTTTTTGATGTCACAAAATTCCATCTTTATCAAATTTGGGAAGTTTTCATCCATTATTTCTTAAAATACTCTTTATGCCTCTCTTTCTCTCTCTCTCTCTCTCTCCTCCTTCTGGTACTCCCACAATGCACTTGTTAGTTCACTTGATGGTGTTCCACAGGTCCCTTTGGCTCTGTTCACTTTTCTTCAGTCTTTTCTCTTTCCTTTCCTCAGAATAGATATTTCCAGTGTTCTATCTTCAAGTTTGCTGATTCATCTGCCTGCTCAAGTTTACCTTCTAATTTCTCTAGTGTGTTTTTTATTTTATTTATTATACTTTTAAGCATCATAATTTCCTTTTTCTTTTAGGTTCTCTGCCTCTTTATTGATATTTTCATTTTATCCACACATTATTTTCTCAACTTTTATTTTAGATTCAAGGGGTATAATATGCAGATTTTTTACATGGGTATATTACATGATGCTGAGGTTTGTGGCATGATTTAACCTGTCACTAGGGCAGTGAACATAGTACCCACTAGGTAGTTTTTAAACCCTTGTTTCTCTCCATCATTTCCCGCCTTGTAGTCTCCAGTGTCTGTTGTTCCTATCTTTATGTTCATGTGTACCCAGTGTTTAGCTCCCACTTGTAAGTGAGAACATGAAGTATGTGGTTTTCTGTTTGTGTGTTAATTTGTGTAGGATAATGGCTTCCAACTCCATCTGTGTTGCTGCAAAGGACATGATTTTGTTCTTTTTTATGGCTGTGTAGTATTCCATGATGTATATGTACCACATTTTCTTTATCCAGTCCACTGTTGAAGGGTGCCTACGTTGATTCCAAGTCTTTGCTATTATGGATAGTGCTGTGATGAACATATAAGTGTATGTGTCTTTTTGGTAGAATGATTTATTTTGGGGTTTACAGATCCAGTAATGATATTGCTCAGTTGAGTGATAGTTCTATTTTTAGTTCTTTGAGCAGTCTCCAAACTGCTTTCCACAGTGGCTGAACTAGTTTGCTTTCCTACCAGCAGTGTGTAAACATTCCATTTTCTCTGCAGACTTGTTAGCATCTGTTATTTTTGGACTTCGTAATAATAGCCATTCTGACTGGTGTGAAATTGTTGGTATCTCATTGTGGTTTTTGATTTGAATTTTTCTGATGATTAGCGATGGTGAGCATTTTTTCACGTAGTTTTTGGCCACTTGTATGTCTTCTCATGAGAATTGTCTATGCCTTTTGCCCACTTTTTAATGTTTTGTTTTTGTTTTTGTTCTTTTGCTTGTTGATTTAAGTTTCTTACAGATTCTGGATATTAGACCTTTGTAGGATGCACAGTTTGTGAATATTTTCTCCCATTCTGTAGGTTATCTGTTTACTATGTTGATTGTTTATTTTGCTGTGCAGAGGCTCTTTAGTTTAACTGAATCCCACTTGTCAATTTCTGTTTTCATTGCAATTGCTTTTGATGACTTAGCCATAAATTCTTTGCCCAGGCCAATGTCAAGACGGACATTTTCTAGGTTTTCTTGTAGGGTTTTTGTAGTTTGAGGTTTTATATTTAAGTCTTTAATCAATCTTTAGTTCAGGGTCCAATTTGATTCTTCTGTGTATGGTTAGCCAGTTATGCCACCACCATTTATTGAATAGGGAGTCCTTTCCCCATTGCTTATTTTTGTTGACTTTGTCAAAGATCAGATGGTTGGTTGTGTGTGGCTTTATTTCTGGGTCCTCTATTCTGTCCCATTGGTTTTTTTTTTTAATTTTTTTTTGTCTGTTTTTGTGCCAGTACTGTGCTTTTTTTGGTTACTGTAGCCTTGTAGAGTAGTTTGGTTTGAAGTCAGGTAATGTAATACTCTTGGCTTTGTTCTTTTTGCTTAGGATTGCTTTGGCTATTTGGGCTCTTTTTCAGTTCCATGTACATTTTAGAATAGGTTTTTTTTAATTCATGAAAAATGAGATTGCTATTTTGATAGGAGTGGTGTTGAATCTATAGATTGCTTTGGGAAGTATGGCCATTTTTATGATATTGCTTCATCCAATCCATGAGCAGGAGTGTTTTTCCATTTGTTGTGTTATCTGTGATTTCTTTCAGCAATGTTTTGTAGTTATCCTCCTAGAGATCTTTCAACTCCTTGGTTAGATGTATTCCTAGGTACTGTGTGTGTGTGTGTATATGTGTGTGTGTGTGTGTGTGTGTGTGTTTTGAATGGGGTTGCTTTCTTGATTTGGCTCTCAGCTTGAATGTTATTTTGTATAGAAATGCTACTGATTTTTGTATATTGATTTTGTATCCTGAAACTTGATCCAAGTCATTTATCAGTTCCAGAAGCCTTTTGATGGGATCTTTAGGGTTTTCTAGGTATAGAATCATATCATTAGCAAAGAGATAATTTGACTTATTCTTTTTCTTTTTCTATTTTGATGCCTTTTATTTCTTTCTCTTGACTTATTGGTCTGACTAGGACTTCCAGTACTATGTTGAATAAGAGTGGTAAGAATGTGCATCTTTGTCATGTTCCAGTTCTTAAGGTGAATGGTTTCAGCTTTTGTCCATTCAGTATGACATTGGCTGTGGGTTTGTCATCAGTGTTTCTTACTATTTTGAGGTATGTTTCTTGATGCCTAATTTTTTGAGGGTTTTCATCATGAAGGGATGTTGCACTCTCTCGAAAGCGTTTTCTTAATCTATTGAGATGATTTTATGGTTTTTGTTTTTGATTCTGTTTACGTGGGAAATCACATTTATTGATTGGCATATGTTGTACCAACCTTGCATCCTGGGAATAAAGTCGACTAGATCCTGGTAAATGAAGATTTTATGTATTGTTGGATTTAGTTTGCTAGTATATTGTTGAGGATTTTTATATCTATATTCATCAGGGATATCGAACTGCAGTTTTTTTTTTATATTATCAGAATGATGCTTGATTTATAGAATGAGTTAGGATAGAGTTCTTTGCCTCTATTTTGGGGAATAGTTTCGGTGGGATTGGTACCAGCTCTTCTTTGTGTGTCTGATAGAATTTGGCTGTTAATCCATCTGTTTAGGGCGTTTTCTGATTGGTAGTTTTTTTTTTGTTGTTGTTGTTGTTGTTGTTTTACTTCACTGATTCAGTTTTTTAACTCATGTTCTGTTCAGAGTTTCAGTTTCTTCCTGATTCAATCTTAGGAAGGTGTCTGTTTTGAGGAATTTATCTGGATTTTCTAGTTTGTGTGCATAGAGGTGTATTACTCCACTCTTGCACTGCTATAAAGAAATACTTTAGACTGGGTAACTTATAAAGAAAAGAGGTTTAATTGGCTCATGGTTCCACAGGCTGTACAGGGAACATGGCTGGGGAGGTCTCAGGAAACTTACAATTATGGTGGAAAGTGAATGAGAAGCGGGCACGCATGTCTTCACATGGCCAGAGCAGGAGGAAAAGAAAGAGGAGGGAGGTGCCACACACTTTTAAATAAGCAGATCTCATGAGGACTCTGTCATGAGAACAGCACCAAAGGGGAAAGTCTGCCCCCATGATCCAATCACTTCCCACCAGGCCCCACATTCAACACTGGGAATTATAATTTGACATGAGATTTTGGTGGGGACACAAATGCAAACCATATCAAGAGGTGTTCATAATAGTCTCTGAGGATCTTTTGTATTTCTCTGGGATTGGTTGTAATGTTACATCTTTGTCATTTCTGTTTATGCTTATTTGGAACTTCTGTTGTTGTGGTTGTTGTTAATCTAGCCAGCATCCTGTTGATCTTGTTATCCTTTCAAAGAACCAACTTTGGTTTCACTGATCCTTTGCCATATATTATTTTATTGACTTTATCTACATCTTCCTTCAGTTCTTTGAGCATCTTTAAGACAGTCGTTTTGAAGTTTTTGTCAGGTAGATCTGTCATCAGGTGTTTTTTGCAGACAGTTTCTGTTAATTAATTTTTGTTTGGATGGATTATAGTTTTCTGTTTCTTTGTATGGATTGTGATTTTTTGTTGAGAATCAGACACTTGAATCTGATAATGTGGTAGCTCTGGAAATCAGATTCTCTCTCTTTTTCAGGGTTTGCTGTTTTGTTTTTTTTTTTCCTTATACTTTTTAAAATTGTTGTAGGCTGTCTCTGTGCCAAGGATCAACCTGAGGTGTCAACTTAAGGTCTTTTCAAGTTCCTTCTGAGCCTGCACAATCACTTTCTAATTTTCCCCATATATGCAGTTGCTTTTGAATGTTTTAGTCTTTAATGCCTGGCTTTCAAAAAGGAAAAAAGTGAAAAATAAAGTGTGTGTGTGTGGGTGGAGTGGGAAGAGTACTGGCCCTTTAATTCTTCTGGACGTCACTTCAGCTTGATGGAAAGGGTTTTGAGAGAGTGGGGAGAGGTGCAATAATGGCCATCCACCTTTTGCATCTTTTTGATCAGAAGCAGCAATCAGCAATCAGAACACAGATCTCTGATATTTAAGACAGTGTCCTTTTTGCCCATCTTGGCTCCTATAAGCTGTATGCAAGTTTCTGTATGAACACAAGAAGAGCTGCCTGCCATAGGACTGGGTGTGGGAAATGAGTAGTTGTTACTGTGTAAAGAGCTGACATTGACCAGAATTAACCCTCATTGACCATCCAAGCATTCTTAGTCGTAAGCCTTCAATAGACATCAGAGTTCCAAAATAATTATGTAAGACCTATTCTGCCAGTGTAATTGTTGTCTAGATGGGGAGACAATTCCTATGCTTCTTGCTGCACCATCTTCTGCCAATCCTAGAGAGAGTGAAAGGTTGGTGGGGGGGGAGAGAGAGAGAGAGAACACGCATGCATGCATGTGTGTGTATGCTTTAAATAGAAAGTGGAGTTCAAGATCTATGGATTGGCTACAATATCTTAGAGACACTTCCTGCCCCTTCAAGAACATAGCATAGGAATCTGAATTTAATGAGGCCTTTGTGAAAGGCAATGGAAGCATGAATCTTAAACGGGCTAGCTGATATTTCAGAGGATTGTAGTTGCTTTGATACCTGTTTGAGCATAACTGAATCCTTTTGTTAGTCTGTTGCATGAAATATATGATCAGAGTCCCTACAAAAAATAGAAAGCTGTAAACAAGTTTAAAGATTTGTTTTTTTTTAATTTTGTTTTTGCACTTTTGTAGTTGATGATTAATACTCAGTGGATCACAGTGTATTAGAAGATTTCCTTTCCTACCTGCTTGTGATGTCCAGGGAAGTAAATTTAGACTCTTCACTTACTTCTCACTATTGGAGGTTGCTACCAAAAAAGAACCTCATGTTGTATATGGAGAAATTAGCTTAGATAAGTTTGCATAAGAGGCAGAAAATCTCACCTCTGCCACTTACTCAGCTGAGTGATGAGTTGTTTAGCATTTATGGGTCTTGTTTTTTCCATTTATACATTACCACAACTCATTGTAATTACTGTGGTAATATATGCAGTGTCCTTGGCACAGCTCTTGGAACAATGGTTAGAATGAAGGAGGGTGGGTTGATTATAGTTAGGATTTGCCTGGCACATTCATGCCTGAGAAGATCCTGGAAGAAGCTAATGCATAATGTTAGACACAACCCCCCCTGCAGTACAGGAGTTACAGAAATTGCTGGGGCACCTGATCCAAACTGGGCCAATCAGATTATCTTTCCTAGGGATTTGGCTATCGACCCTGCAGTTGGTCTCTATTTGTAGCCTGAACTGTGTAACATGTTTAAACTTGGGAGCTGTGGGGTTTTCCAGCATGAGGTCACTTTAACACAGGTGTCATGCTTGACTTCTCTCTTTCACATTTATCCCATATCCAGTTCATCAGCAAGTGCTTTCAGCTGTATCTTTACAATGTATCCCAACTCTGACTCCTTCTACTCATTTTTATCACTTCCTTGTCCTTGCCACTGTCACTCTCACCTGCCAGTCAACCAGCTAACTGGTCTCTGCCTCTGTCTTTGTCTGTGTATGATTCTTTTCTACTCAGCAGTCAGAATGATCCTTCTAAAGTGAGCCCATCATGTTCCTGCTCTGCTATAAACCTTCTGCATGGCTTCCATCTCATTTTCAGTGAAACCAAACACACTTAACCTGGCCCACAAGAGCCTGCATGGCCCAGCACCTGGCTGCTTGTGTGCCATCTGTGACTTCCCTCCTTGCTCCTTCCAGTCCTGCTCCTTGCTGTTGAGATGTGTATGGTGCAGGGCTTTTGCACTCATTGAGCCCTCTGCCTGGAGTGGCCTTCTCCTGGATATTCATAGGGTAACCTCTCTCCCTCAGTCAGAGCTACAGCTAAACGTCACCCCTCAGGAAGACCACCCTTGACCAAATTCAAAATACTCCCTCCTTCCCTTCATGTTTCATTTTTTCCTTATCAGTTTTTTTGGAGCACTTATTACCACCTGAAATTGTATTTATATTTGTTTGTTAATAGTTTCTCACAGTAAAATGTAAGCTCCATAAATCAGGGATTTTTCTTGTTTATACCTGTATCCTCAGGGCCTAGAAGAATGCCTAACATCAGTAAATGTTGATTTTAGTTTGATATTGAATGAATAAATATGAGCAGGAACTATCACTACTTAGATGTTGAAAAATGCAGTACTGGTTGGGTATAACATGTATGTATAGTATATTTCCTTAAATTTAAGGTTTTTAAATTTTATTATTTGAAATCAAGTTACACTTTACAATTGATGCCTGTATTTAATATGGTAAGATAAACTCCTGAGCTGTTATTAAATAGATTCATCAACAACCCATTTTAGATTGTAAATTTTAAGCAACATACTGGGCCTCCAGTTGGCAGGGGAATCAGTACATTTCTGTTCCATAATAAATATTTAATAATAATAGATGCATAGTCTGTTGTTCAGAAGTGTTTGTGTTTCTTCAACCAGATAGAGGTTTTTGCTGGTTATTCTATAGTATTCTATGAACATTAACGTATTCTTAGACATTATTTCTGTTATACTGTAAACTATGATTGTACTACAAATGCTACATGGGTAGTGATTTTTTTTAGTTGTATTAGTTTTATCAAGTTAGCAAAATATGCCAGCATGCAAAATGTGAGATTATCTAAGTCAGACTATTAAAATTATATGCCATCTTCCATTTACTTGTGTTTTTGGAATTGTACATTTATTTCTATCCCATTGTCTTATGCTTAGAGTTTATGTAAGTATTTTCCAAATGTTGAACTTCAATACAAAAAATGTAATTTTGCAACGATTTTTAAAAGTATGTTTTATAACCTAATAATTCTGTGAATAGTCATATTGGTAGTGTGCTTATAGGTGGTAAATACTTTAAACATGTACAGATTTTGTGTCTAAGATAGTATAGCTCCTTAATATTCATTAACAAATAGACATTTATTTAATTAACCTCTGAATAATTTAGTTTTTTAATTTAACTTTAAGCATTTTCTTTACAGACCAGTTATGTTTTAGTAGCACTCAACAACTTGACATACCTTCAACAAGAAAACATTTGTATCTTTAGAATTGTAAATATTATCCAGCATTGTAGAAAAATTGGAGAACATAGAAAACAGTCTTGGCAGTGACTACTAGATGCTTTCCTAATTTAGTCTCCTTTTCTTCATTAATTAGAAAAAAAGACAGCAATAATAACAAGTTAGATTGGCATGCTGCACACATGTAAAGACTGTATTTCCTTGCTGTGCTACAGGAGGTTATGTTGTAGCCAGAAATGTTATATGGTCATTATGGAAAATTATCTTAACAGCAAAGGGGTGCCTTTCTTCTTTCTCTTTTCCTCCATCTTTCTGACCAGAACGGATATCTGATGGACAAAGCTCCACAGCCATATTGGACCATGGTGGCAGAATGAGTAACTAGAGGGAGACTGGGCCATTAACAACTTGGTATAAGCTTCTGCCAACCTTCAGACTTCGAATTTTCAATGTGGAAGAAAAATAACTTCCGTATTGATTAAACTACTGTTATTTGCAGGTTATCGATCATCTGTTATCCTGCTAAATGGGGATAAAAATTGCTTTCTTTCTTACCTATGTCTATGTATGATATACATACATGTCCATACATTACCCACAAACCCACATAGAGTGAGGCTAAACAGTTTATAGTACACTTTACTGAATTTATATATTTTTGGCTCATCGTATGTGCTCATTGTTTTCCCATATTATTAAAATTATTTTTAAACATTTTTATATCTACTTAACATGGGTATGTACCATAATTTGTTGAATTGGTTCACTCTTTTTAGACAATTATTTTGTCTTACTATATAGAAGTCTTCTTAAAATCTATCCTAGCAATATTTTTCTTCCATTTTAACTTAGTGAGTATTTCTTATGCTAAAAGTTCTATTTATACACAACACGTGCAACTCACTGTCACTTCTCCAAGAGCTCTTCTGTCTGAGAAAGTTGTCCTAGCTTTGCTGCACTTTTATTCTCCTCTAGTTCCTTGCACTTGCCTCTAATATATCACTGGCATTTCTGCAATAGTTATTTATTTTCTTCCAAGTTTCCCTCACTTGCCCTTAAAGAAAATCTGGAGCCAGGTTTGTTTACTGCCAAATACTTGGTTCACACAGTTATCCCAGGCCCTCCACACAATAGCTCTGTGCCTTTTCTAAGCTTGACCTTCTTTATCCTAAAATAGGTTTATTTTTCTCACTATTAGTATCTTGATGATAAATGAGATTATATTTATACATTTTTTACTACAATACTGGATCCAAGGTTGACATGCTTAATTGCCTTCAAGTCTGCTCGAATGTCATCTTTTCATTGAAGCCTGTCCTGCAGCTGTGTTTAAGTTGCAAACAACTTTTACTATTACTCTTAATCTCCCATACTGTTTTCTCTATAACATTTACCATTTTCTAACATACTTTATAACTCATTTATTTATTATTAGGTCTATTCATTATGTGTTACTCTGCACCAGAGTGGAAACTCCATTGTAGGTAGGAATGTTTGTCTGCTTTTGCTTACTGAAGTCAAGTTCATAGAATAGTACCTGGCACATAGTATAGATGCTCAATAAATGTTTGTTGAATAAATGTGTTCATTTAAGATGTTTTGAATGCATAAAAATGTTTGACTAGCCATTTAGAATTTTCTCTCCATTGGTGGTTTTAGAGACTCTGTAAAAGAATCTCTAACTTTACCAGGCTGTAGAAGACATTTTTCAGGCTCTATATCCTGTTTTTTTGTCAATATCTGCAGCTCTTTGGGTCTGGTACCTATAGTTTATACCTTGCACTTATCTTCCATATTTATTTTCTGGAGCTGCCATAAAAAAGTCCCACAGAATGGGTGACTTAAACAATAGAAGTTTATTTTCTCATGCTCCTGGAGCCTAGAAGTACAAGATCAAGATGTCAGCAGGGTTGGTTTCTTCTGAGGACCTCTCTCTTTGGTTTGTAGATAGCCATCTTCTCTCTGTATCTTCACATGGTCTTTCCTTTGTGTGCTTCTGTGGCATAACATCTTCTTATTATAAAGACACCATTCATATTGGATTAGGGCTTACCCATTTACCTTAATTGCCTCTTTAAGGGCCCTGCCTCCAAATACAGTCACATTCTGAGGTACTAGGAGTTAGGACTTCAATACACACATTTTGGGGATAAACAATTCCGTTAATAATACCTTCTATTTCTCTGGCCGGCTCTTTCTATAAGTTGCTTGGTTGGGATGATTTGTTTGAGTTTTTGTTTACCATTTCACTTTTGGATACTGTCTTTTTCATGACCTTTTGCTCCAAAGTTTGAGTTGCCAGCCATTCTCTCTTCCCTGCTATACCCGCTCCCCACATTTAACCCTCTGCCTGGTCCATACTCCCAGGAGTCTTTCAGAAAAAGCGGTTCAAAGGAAAGACTATTTTCATGCTTGGTATGCTCATAATCCTGTAGACATATCAGTTTGGAGGCTAACATGTGTCAACTGATGGACAATTAGCATACAGAAAAGGATTAGTTAATTAAATGTTTAAGGAACATTTCACCAGAACAGTATGACAGTTTGGATGGTATGTATACCCAAATAACATAGCCTTTAAATATCTAAACAAAGCAAACAGAATAACAAGGAGAAACTGACAAATTCTCAATGGGAATAGGTGAGTTTTTAGCATATAGTCATGCACTGCATAATGATGTTTGAGTCAACAATGGACTGCCTATACAATGATGTTCCTATGAGATTATAATGGAGCTAATGAGGATAATTCCCGTCATCTAATGACATCATAACTATCTTAATGATATAGCACAACACATTACTCATGTATTTGAGGTGATGCTGGTGTCAACAAGCCTGCTGCATTGACTGCCAGTTGTTTAAAATATAGCACATACCATTGTTTGCAGTACATAATACTTGAAAATGATAATAAACTAGTATATTGCTGATTTATGTATTTGCTATACTATACTTTTTATCATTATTTTAGAGTGTACTTCCACTGATGTAAAAACAAGTTAACTGCAAAACAACTTCAGGCAGGCCCTTTAGGAGGTATTCCAGAAGAAAGCATTGTTATCATAGAAGATGACATCTCCATGCATGTTATTGTCCCCAAATACATTCCAGTGGGACAAGATGTGGGATTGGAAGACAGTGGTATTGATAATCTTGACCCTGTGTAGGCCTAGGCTAATTGTGTGTTTAGGCTAATATGTGCATTTGTGCCTTAGTTTTTAACAAAAAATTTTAAAAGTGAAAAAATAATTTAAAATAGAAAAAAATTTATAGAATAAGTATATAAAAAAAGAAAATTTTTTTTGGGGTACAGCTGCACAATGTGTTTGTGTTTCATGTAAGTGTTATTACAGAGTCAAAAAGTTTTAAAAGTTAAAATTAAAAAATTTAAAAAGTAAAAACAGTCACAGTAAGGAAAGATTAATTTATTATTGAAGAAAGAAAAAATTTAAAAATAAAGTTAGTATAGCCTTTGTATTAGTCTCTTTTCATGCTGCTGATAAAGACATACCCGAGACCAGGAAGAAACAGAGGTTTAATGGACTTATAGTTCCCCATGGCTGGGGAGGCCTCATAATCATGGCGGAAGGCAAGAAGGAGCAAGTCACATCTTACATGGATGGCAGCGGGCAAAGAGAGAGCTTGTGCAGGGAAACTTCCGTTTTTAAAACCATTAGATCTCGTGAGACTTATTCACTATTATGAGAACCACATGGGAAAGACCCACCCTCATGATTCAGTAACCCCCCAATGGGTTCTTCCCACAGCATGTGGGAATTGTGGGAGTTAGAACTCAGGATACGATTTGGGTGAGGACACAACCAAACCATATAATTCTGCCCCGGCCCATCCAAAATCTCATGTCCTTTTTACATTTCAAAACCAATCATGCCTTCCCAACAGTCCCCCAGATTCTTAACTCATTTCAGCATTAACTCAAAAGTCCACAGTCCAAAGTCTCATCTGAGACAAGCATATTGTCATGAAACAAGGCAAGTCTCTTCTGCCTATGAGCCTGTAAAATCAAAAGCAAGTTAGTTACTTCGTTGATACAATGTGGGTACAGGCATTGGATAAACTCAGCCATTCCAAATGAGAGAAATCGGCCAAAAGAAAGGGGCCACAGGCCCCATGCAAGTCCAGAATCCAGCAGGGCAGTCAAATCTTAAAGCTCCAAAATGATCCTCTTTGACTCCATGTCTCACATCCAGGTCATGCTGATGCAAGAGGTGGGTTCCTGTGGTCTTGGTCAGCACTACCCCTGATACGGTTTGGCTGTGTCCCCACCCAAATGTCATCTTGAATTCCCACGTGTTGTGGGAGGGACCTGGTAGGAAGTGATTGAATCATGGGGTCAGGTCTTTCCCGTGCTGTTCTCGTCATAGTGAGTGGGTCTCAAGAGATCTGATTTTATAAATGGTTTTATAACGGGGAGTTTCTCTGCACAAGCTCTCTTTCTTTGCCTGCTGCCATCCATGTAAGACGTGACTTGCTCCTCCTTGCCTTCTGCCATGATTGTGAGACTTCCCCAGCCATGTGGAACTGTAAGTCCATTAAACATCTTTCTTTTGTAAATTCCCTCGTCTCAGGTATGTCTTTATCAGGAGCATGAAAACAGACTAATACAGTAAATTGGTACCAGGAGTGGGGTGCTAATGAAAAGATACCCATAAATGTGGAAGCAACTTTGGAACTGAGTAACAGGCAGAGGTTGAAACAGTTTGGAGGGCTCAGAAGAAGACAGAGAAATGTGGGAAAGTTTGGAACTCCCTGGAGACTTGTTGAATGGCTTTGACAAAAATACTGATAATGATATGGACAATGAAATCCAGGCTGAGGTAGTCTCAGATGGAGATGAGGAAGCTGTTGGGAACTGGAGCAAAGGTGACTCTTCCTATGTTTTAGGAAAGAGACTGATAGCATTTTGCCCTGCCCTGGAGATTTGTGGAACTTTGAACTTGAGAGAGATGATTTAGGGTATCTGGCAGAAGAAATTTCCAAGCATCGAAGCATTGAAGAGGTGACTTTGATGCTGTTAAAGGCATTCAGTTTTACGAGGGAAGCAGAGTATAGAAGTTTGAAAATTTGCCGCCTGACAATGTGATAGAAAAGAAAATCCCATTTTCTGAGGAGAAATTCAAGGTGGCTGCAGAAATTTACATAAGTAATGAGCTGAATGTTAATCCCCAGGACAATGGGAAAATGTCTCTAGGGCATGTCAGAGGTCTTCATGGCAGCCCTCCCATCACAGGCCCGGAGGCCCAGGAGGAAAAAATGGTTTTGTGGGCTGGTCCAAGGGAGCCCATGCTGTGTGCAGCCTAGGGACTTGGTGCCCTGCATCCCAGCTGCTCCAGCTGTGTCTGAAAGGGGCCAACATAGAGCTCAGGTCATGGCTTCACAGGGTGCAAGCCTCAAGCCTTGGCAGCTTCCACATGGTGTTCAGCCTGGGAGTGCACAGAAGTCTAGGCAGAGGTTTGGAAACCTCTGCCTAGATTTCAGAGGATATATGGAAATGCTGGGATGTCCAAGCAGAAGTTTGCTTCAGGGCAGGGCCCTCATGGAGAACCTCTGCTAGTGCTGTATGGAGGGGAAATGTGGCATGGAGACACAGAGCCCTACTGGGGCACTGCCTGGTGGAGCTGTGAGAAGAGGGCCACCGTCCTCCAGACCCCCAAATGGTAGATCCATTGACAGCTTGCACCGTGCACCCCGGAGAGTATTGCCATGAACTTTGCCTTTGGCAGGTCTGCTTTTGCTTTGACAGATCCACTTCCACTTCTTGGTAGCCATTGCTTTGATTGTGCTTTGTTTTCAGGATAGTACTGGTGGTACCATGATTCATCTCCTATTACAATTCTTTGAAGAAATGCTTCAGGATCATGATCACAGTTGTTTAAAATTTCCATCAAAAGCTCTGCCATTGGCTGTAGCTGATCTGGGTGCAAAAGTTTTGGCATCCATCAACTGGAAAATTTAGTCAACTTTAATTTTTCAGTAAGAATTGTGCAAGTTGAACCACTTGAAATGTCTGTGGTGTTATGTCTGCTGTTAATCATCAGTCTTCTTCAATTAGGGCATAAACGAGGAATTTTTTTTTTCGTTTATTGATGTGAATGGTTTGACATTGTGGGCTTTATCTTCAACATTGTCTCATCCCTTCTTAAAAGGATTATTCATTTGTAAACTACTGATTCTTTTGGGCATTGTTTCCCTAAGTTTTTCCATAAAGCATCAGTGATTGCATCATTCTTCCACCCAGTTTTTACCATAAATTTGATGTTTGTTTTTGCTTCAGTTTTACAGAATTCATGTTGCTCTGATAGGGACTCTTTTCAAACCCATTACTTAGTCCTCTTAGTGCCTCAAACTAGATCCTGTTCAAACATGTTATAGCAAGTTAGTATGAGTTTAGTTTGGTGCAAAAATTTTGAAATTTATGCATAGTTTCTTAATAATATGCATTTTCCATGAATTATATCTTGCATTTATATATATATCCTCTTATATATAGATCCCTGTACCCAATAATTAGATAATAAACCATGTTTTCAATTTTACAGTGAATAATGTGGATTGAGTAATGTGGCATGAAGACAACTCAATAAGCAGCAAATATGGGTATCATACAGAGAACTTTTTTTTGATCACTGTGCAATTAAAAGCCAATAACCAAAAGCAAGCTAAGGAAACCTCTTATATGTCTAAAAACTATTTTTACAAAACTCTATATTTCTAACTAATTTCTTGGAAGGATTATACAGGGGGCCTCAATTCTATCTGTAATTTTTAATTCCTTAATAAACAACAGATGTGAAGCACTTATGGCTTGATATTAAGAATGGACAAATTGAGTTGGTGGTCTGTTGATGTTTGCTTGATTATACTCTGCAGTTTTCTATTTTGTATTTTTTTAATTAAAAAAGATAAGTGATTTCTAACCCTATGCTCATGTATTTAAACTTTAAGTATGAGGGCAGAACTCAGGCATTTTCCCATATTTAGGGGTCCAAAAATTTCATCCCCCTAAAACCTATCTAAAGGTATTATAAAAATCAGGAAAACTTCAGAATCCATTTCGCTTCACAAAGCATGCTGAGGTCTTCTCCTGTGAAAATTAGTATGTGAATGCAAACAGGGGGAGTTTTGTGCTGTACAGTTTCGTGCTGTGCTGAGAAATCCAGATAGTTTCCCAAGCCCACAGCAATGAAGGAACAGTATTTTCTAATGTAGTACCATATTGACTAATCAAGAATGTTTACAAAATTGGTACTGATGGAGTAAATTTACCATACCCCAAATTAATTAAAAAGCTTTTTACAGCAATGCTTGAAATTCATTCAAATCTTCCTAAAATATAGGTATACAGTATTTTATATATATGTTTGTGCATGTCACAGTAAGTACAGTTAGCAAACCTTAATGACTCTTACTGATGGTTGAGGATCAATGTTTTAGTTATGATTACTCACATGAATTACTATTGCTGTATATATTGCTATAATTAATGGTAGTACTTTGTGTTTGATTTTACTTATGTAAGCTTTAGGTATAAAATCAGACCTTGTATTGAATTTATACTTGACAAAGCCATAGATTATAAATACTCATTTAATATAAATCTTTAATGCTACTCCATTTCATCCTAATTTGTCTTTCTTGAAAGTAGGTTTTTAGTTACTCAAGAGTTTTTACAAATGGATGTGATTACCTCTTTACTTTTATAGTGTTAAATAGTAAGCTTCTTTAAATTCACATAAGAAAGCTGAATAAACAATCATAGTGCTAATGGCTAGTATTTATTAGAAAATAGTTGATTGAAAGTGCAATGGTTTATGTATTATGAACCAAGTTAAATTTTTTAAGGCACATCAGTCATGTACTTCATGCTGTAGCAAAGCATGAAGACCTAAAACTAGTAGAGTTTGTTTGTTCATTTTTGTTTTTCTATTAGTTTTGGAAATAGTTTCATTTTGAATTCTTTAAAAAAAACACCTTATGAGAAAGAAGGGTACTTAGTTGCCTTTCACTTCTTTTACAGTTGGTATACTTCTCGGAATTATTTATGGTGTGGAGGTGCATGACCCCTTTTACAGTTTTTAGGGCCATTTAAGGTCTTAATCCAGCCATAGATATAAAGATGTCTTACTGGGTAAGGAAGTATATGGAATTATTTTAACTATACTCATCAGAAACTAAGCCAGAATGTAAGGTAACCATCCTGTGATTGTGATTTTATTATGAATTTTATGAGTACTTCATGGAATCATGTGGCCTGCCATTTCTTTCTTTAACTTCTTTCCGGCTACACTTAATCGTAACCTTGTCTAGCTCACTCACCTGTGGCCTTCCCACTCTTAGCATTTTCATTGGCCCTAAGGCATTCAGGTTTCATTGCTAACCCAACAGGGCCTTCATGATGCCCATGTGCTCCCCTTTCCTGAAATTTGGACCTTCTCATGTGACTGGTCTTCCTCTCAGAACCCTCTCTAGGGGAGGCTGCTTTTCTCATTGCCTTTGACTGAGCATGAGGAGGAGGTGTTGGCAAACTTTTGCTCCTGAGACTGTGGTTCTGCAGTTTCTCAGCAGTTGTAGTTCCCACTGCCTACTCACACGAACTACTCATTTCATTAGCATGGTCTGGTGGACTCTGAAAACATTGTTCTAGCACCCAAGCTTGCCAGTATCTGGCTTACAGCTCTCTTTACCTGTCACCTGCCATCATTCTTCAGGAGCACCCCACCTACAACGTGACTAAATAGTTCCTCAAGCTCCTGCAAACCACTGACCACTCTTTCAGCCCTTAACCTTGTAATAAACTTTTCAGGCTCCATCCTACTTCCAGTTATCATATTAATTTTTCTAGTTCACTGCTGTGACTTCAGACTTAATGGTTCAAAAATCTTTAATAACTCTTCACAGTTCGCCAGATAGAATACCAGAACCTCAGTCTGAGCTCAGCCCCTCAAATCAGCTCCAGCTTGCTTTCCAAACGTGTTTGTTTTGCAGTTGGGTAGCTGTATTTGATATTCCCAAGCAGACCTCTTTTTGTTTGAAATGCCTTCTCTGTAGTCTGTTTTGATTTAGTCATGCTCTCATGTCACCTCCTCTGTGATGCTTGTCTTGATTGTCTCATCTGGGGAGACATCTCTTTCTTCTGATCTCCCATGATACTTAGCTCATACCTTTTAAATAATATTTCTTATACATTTTTACTTTTAATACATTATATTGGGTTTTATGATGACTTGAACTATGAAAAGGGGTCCTGGACTAGAGGAAGAATATATTACTGGTTAAACCTAGATTTAAAAGTATTTTGTTCAGGCTGGGTGTGGTGGCTCACGCCTGTAATCCCAGCACTTTGGGAGGCTGAGGCGGGAGGATCATGAGGTCAGGAGTTCCAGACAAGCTTGACCAACGTGGTGAAACCCTGTCTCTACTAAAAATACAAAAATTAGCTGGGTGTGGTGGCGTGTGCCTGTAATCCCAGCTACTCAGAAGGCTGAGGCAGGAGAATCGCTTGAACCCAGGAGGCAGAGGCTGTGGTGAGCCAAGATCGCGCCACTGCACTCCAGCCTGGGAGACAGAGCAAGACTCTGTCTCAAAAAATAAATAAATAAATAAATAAAGAAAAGAGTAATTTGTTCAAAAGCAAAGCCTGGAGGTGACCAGATTTCAACGAGGCTGGTCAGTGGAAACTGGGGAAAGGAATCTTTCGATGAGAAGGAGCAAATTTTTAGTCAAAGTTGGTTTAAAATAATAACTAATTTCTCTAGATCTACAGTATTATGGTTGTGAAGGTAAAGTGTACTATGTACTTACAAGTTTTTACCCCATGAGAAAGCAAAAGTTGAACCTGTTACTTGGCTTTCAATTGTTCAAGCCAATAAAAGAAGGAAAGAGATGTGAGATGCAAATTATTATTTGTGTCCATCGGCACAACCAAGATGGTAAGCAAAATCAATGAAGGGTTTTGATCTTGTTTTCTTTAAATGCCCCACTATTTCCATAAAATGAATTTGTTTTTTTTCAGTATATGAACAGCATTCACAGCATGAGTACATGACACATTTTTAATTAAATTTACTTGTTGGTTGGGATTCCTGAATTTGTTTGTATTTCTTTGTATGTTAATTTTAATTCATCAGATTGTAAACTCACAAATATGGAAGGACAAGTTAGTTCCGCAGAGAAAAAAAAACCCAGGTCTCAGCACTATGCAACTCAGGTCTCTTTAGCTGTGTAATAGGAGGTAATCATGGCATTTAAAAACATTGACTATGGAGTTCTCTGAGTAAATGAGAATATTAGCTCCACCACCTTTATCCGTATGACTTTTGGCTAATTACTTAACATGGATGAGTCAGTTTCTTCCTTTCTAAGATGGGAATAATAGTATTTTTACTTTATGGGATGTGTAAGCACAAAATGAGATAATTGTTTTAAAATACTTACCGTAGTGCCTAACAGGTAAGAATTGCCCCATAAGTTTAGTAGTTTATTATTGTGATTGGCATTTTAGTATATCTCTTACAAGATCAATAACACTAATATTTAGTAAAATAGAAAAAAAATGGGGAGAAAAATTATTATTATGTTTATTATAGTAAATTATCTATAAATTGAACATCCAACCATTAAATTATTAAGAGTATGCTTTTGTTAATTCACTTTGTTTCTAAAATTTAGGGCTAGCTAAACCCAGAATTTAGTTATATATGAGGACTTGGGTTAATGAAAAAAAGATATTTGATTGAAATATGTAGTATTTGCACTATATAAAACAAACTAAAGAGAATCACGTTAGAGGGAAAAAGTCAGTTAAAAATCAGGCCTCTGTTTCAAACAAATGAGAAAAAATGGAAGTTCCACAACAGTATGTCAAAAATACAAACAAAGTAGATCAATGGTACAGCTATATTTTTGCCCAGATCACAACCTGGATGAACTTATTCTTCTACTAAAACAATGAATGGCTAACAGCTTCTGTCTAGAGCAGAGACAGTTTGATAAAACTCAATAGTGTTTTTACTGAGAAACCCTACTTAAAAAATTTGTGTAATTTAAAACAAATTAAAGTTTCATGAACACATAGTATTTAATGTTAAAATTCATATAATTACTTTTTAAAGGAGGAATAAGTCTCTTGTAGGAAATCTGTGGAGGGGATCTCCATCAGGGGAAGATTGAGAAGGACATGTTCTTTAGGAAGTGAGCTGTGTTCCTTTTCTCTGTATTTTGCCTTGAGAGGTTTGAATAGCTACTCTCTTGAGAGCTTTTCTTTTTTTCTTCCTTTTTTTTTCAGGCTCGCTGCTGTCTAGTCTGTAATGGGTCTGATGGATAGAAAATAGAGGAGTAAAAGGGATTGCTTTTTTATATATGAAATTGAAATTGGTTGAATTCAACAAATAGCAATTTCATTGTATAGGAAGATAAGTCAACCAAAGTAAAGTTATTTTGAGATCACTCAGAAAATGGATATGGAGTCAATTGTAAAGTAGAATACTATATTATAAATATTCTTATACTGAAATGTTTCCTACTTGATGGGAAAGGAAAGGCTGTTCAATTCTGCCTGTTCTAGAAGAAACAATAAATACCTGTCTGACATCATTAGAATCCATTTCCTCTGAGGCACACTGCCTTTGATTTGTTAGTAATGGTTTTTATTTCAGCAGATATAATATATTAAAGGAGGGAAGTTGCCCATCCCATTTTGGGTAGCTGAATGTTAAAATGAAATTTTAGTTTCATAGCTGCTGTAAGTGCCCCTTTGTCTTTTAAGAATAGACTGTATGTGTGTACTTTAACAGGTTTATTATAAAAGAATAGAATTTCGACAATCATTTTGACTAATTATATTATCTTATATTGAAAGAAAATAAAATTGATTTACCTGTGGTTACACAACTAATGGTAGGTTGTTAGATGTGTAGAGCTACTTAACATACTATTTATTCATTCACATGATTTCCCAAAGAATAACCTGGGACAGGATAAACATTCTTTAGGAGCCACCTTTCAAAAGTTAGATTGTTTTTTACCCTAACCTTTTGAGATATATTTTTAAAGAAATATTTTATAGTTAATAAGTTGTAGCAAAAATTAATCTTGTTCTTATAATTGCTTTTCTTACATACTATTCTTCAAGTGTGTATATAGCTTGTATTTCCAACTTCGCAGGGAGCTTAAAGATAGGAAGTGTTACTATGGAGGTTACCTCGGTAATAAAAAAAACTGACTTGAGAGAAAGAAGGCTGCATATACAAAGTGTGATACCTAGGTACAAAAGGAATAAAATAAAATTCCACAAATGGGGCCATTAATAAAATTTATACTAGTACGTCACTGGGAGCCTTGTTAAGATGGATAATGTTATTTTAATAAAAATTGTAAATATTTCAATATTTTTACTTTAAATAAAAGGATAGAAAATGAAAGGATAGTTCCACTTAAAGCAAATGAATAGTATTCAAATTGAAATAGTCATTCTGGAGCATTTTGCTCAATGCAAAAAAGGAACTAGTCTAATTCGTGTTCTCCTCAGTTTTCTCTGAGGAGGTTACAAATAAGGGTGTCCATTTATAAGCATTTTGGATGAAAAACGTATGGTTACATAAATTTGATTTTATTGAGCTAAATAAGAAAAGGTAGATAAATTTTATACCACCAGTAAAGTCTCTGTATAATAAAGGATACTATTAAAAAAACTAAAGGCCAATTTTTGTCTGAAGGAAAACAACATACATAACAGACAAACAGAAAAGTCTTATAAATCAATAAGAGAAATGCAAACATGTCAATGGAGAAATGCATGCATGATAAACTAATTTAAAGAAAAGGAAATCTAAACAATTAAATTAACATGCTTGTGGTACTCAGGGAAATGCGTAAAATAAGGATGAGAGCAACATTTCATATACCCACCAACAGAAGTTTAAGAGTTTTGATGATGTCATGAATTAGAGAAGTTTTGGTGGTGGTGGTGGGGTGGGAACTATCTCTATATTGGGTGAAAGTGTGAGTTGGTACAATCGCTTTGGAAAAGTATATGGCCGTATCCAGCAAAGTTGGAAATACATAGTTACATTGAATCAGAAACTTCTGCAGATAAGCCTAAGGAGATGTGTGCTAATATATCCACTGTAGCATTGTTTGTTTGTGAGGAAAGCAAAAACAACTTAAATAAATAATAATATGGTATGTTAGTAGGATAGATATAACTAGAAATTAAAAATAATGACCTGGATGTACATACATGTATTAACATGGACAGGTCCCCCAACCATAATTTTGGACTAATACAGCAACATACTTATGATATCTAACATGTACATGAATAAAAATAATTCTATATATGTTGATTATGGACATCCATAAGTGATTATTAAATAATCAGTAAATGATGAAATCATGGCCTAGAAGAATACACAGCAAACTTAGGAAGGGATGAATGTAAACAGGAGAACAAAAGAGAGTAAGAACTTGAAAACCCATAAACAGAATGAGAAAATAAAAAACATGGTGAAACCCCATCTCTACTAAAAATACAAAAATTAGCTGGGTGTGGTGGCACATGCCTGTAATCCCAGCTACTTGGGAGGCTGAGACAGGAGAATCGCTTGAACCTGGGAGATGGAGGTTGCGGTGAACCGAGATTGGGCCATTGCACTCCAGCCTGGATGACAGAACAAGACTCCATCTCAAAAAACAAACAACCAACCAAAAAAAAAAAAAAAAAACCAAACATTCTAATAACTACTGGACTGTGAGTGAGAGAACTGGCTTTAGATCTCATTCAGCTGCTAACTTAACTGTGACCTTAAACTGTTCTGGCCTCAGTTTTCTCATTTACAAGCGACAGTTTCATTATCTCATCTTAAATGTTTCTTCCAAACTTGAAAATCTTATAAGCTTTTGTAGCTGTGTAGCTTTAGGCCTATTTTGTAAATAAGCTTTGCCTCCGTTTTCTCATCTGTAAAATGGGGACAAATAGTATTACCTAATAGGGTTGTATTGAGGCATTTATGAAATCAACCACGTAGAGCACTTAACTCTGTGCCTGGCAAGTATCATATCACTCAATAAATGTTAGCTACTGATGTAATGACTTTAAAGTATAAATTCATGAACCGAATTAATTATGAGATACATTAATCAGAAATAATACTTTCTTCTTTATAGACTTATTTTAGAAAATAAGTTTCTGCTGGGTGCAGTGGGTCATGCCTATAAACCCAACACTTTGGGAGGCCAAGGCAGGCAGATCCCTCTAGCCCAGCAGTTTGAGAGCAGCCTGGGCAATATGGCGAAACCCCGTTTCTACAAAAAATTAGTTGGGCGTGGTGGCACTTGCATGTAGTCCCAGCTACTGGGAAGACTATGGTGAGAGGATCTCTTGAGCCCAGGAGGTCAAGGCTGCAGTGAGCCGTGATCATGCCACTACATTCCAGCCTGGGCAACAGAGGAAGACCCTCCTGTCTCAAAAACCAACACATGAGACCAAAAAAAAAAAAAGTTTCTATGGGATATTATGTTAAGCTTAGTATATTTATGACTCCCAGTTGTGCTAAATTTGATTTTTTTAATGTATTGATTAAAAGATAGACTTTGTCTACTTGAACCATACCCTTTCTTAAGTCTGCTGATTGTTATGGTTAAATACACACACACACAGAGAGATAAATATATGCATTTGAGGAAATACAGAGTACATCCTGGGTAGACCTGACTTAATTCTTAGATTAATTCAGTAAAATATGGATTCCTTAAATAAATGAGAAGATTTGACAATGTGCATAATTTAATTGTACAAAGACAAACTCCACTCTGAATGTCTTCTTGGCAAACGAAGGCCCATTAAGCCATATTTCAATACACACTCTGGGATAGAGGGTGGGGAAGGAGGGAGGGACAATTTGTAGTACACTGTATCTACTTTATGGCTACTGATTTTAAACAAATTTCAGATTACCCTTATTGTCTAATCATATGTTTGGGAGGATGGGCTATTTATGAGATGTTAGCTTTCCAGATGCTCGAACAATGTGCTTTAAATGCTATATTCACAAATCAGCCCCCAAAATGCAGCAGATTAGCTGTTTCTAATCTTTGAATTCAGAACAAATGTTAGAAAAAGGAACATTTGCAGAGCTGTGTAGTCTCTATTACCTCATTAAAATGTATTTATAAATGAAGTAGACAGAGGAGCAAATGTCTGCACAAAACATTGCTACTTCATTAATATTTTTTTATTACAAAAGCACTTTCTATGAAATCTGTCAGCGTAGAGGAAATAAGTGAATCAGTTGGCTTTCATTTTTGTGTTTTGTTTATTTTCCCTGATATGCAAATGAAATTTTGAAAGAAATATTTTAGCAGTAAATATGAACTTAGTGAAATGAAAAAAAAGTAGGACATTGTGACTAGGGACAACATCTGGTTCAAAGTGTGTATAATGTTAGGATTTAAGTGGGGAAGTTGAACAAGATTCTATTTTTTTCTAATGTGAGGTTTTTGTGTTAGTGGAGAAATACTATGTTATGATGGTCTTCCTGCCTAAGGGTAATTATTTAAAAGAAGGTCTCTTATTACATCAAGAGTAGCTAGAAACAAATGAACATGCAAAGAAACCTTTTCTTCCCCTCTGCATTAGAAATTTCATTTAAAATACTTATGGTTTAAAAAGCACATCATCAAAAAGATTAAAAAGAGTAAAAACGAAAAGCACGCTGTGACACTCTTCCCTAAATAAGAGACAGTTAATTTTATATCCTACTTGAGGAAAATCTGGTACTGAAATACCTAAAAGATCTAATAATGGATTTTATTTCTTTTAATTGTGGACCTTATTCCAGTATCTACTGCTATGTAACAAATCACCCTAAAACTTAGTGACATTAAACAACTTATTTTTAAATTTTGCTCATGGATTTTTGGAGATCAGGAATTAAGACAAGCCACAGGGTGCTTTTTAATCTCTATTCCATGATGCCTTGGGTCTCAGCTAGAAAGACATGAATGGGATGGGGCTGGACTCATCCAAAGTTTTCTTCACTCACATGTTTGGCTTGTGGCCAGGGATGATTATGGATTTGGGTTTGCCTGGGCCATGGCCTGGACTACCTACATATGTTCATAATGCGTGGCCTGGGCTTCTCACAACATGGCATCTGGTTTCTGTGAGAGGCCCCCTAAGAGAAAGCTTCCCAAGAGGGAGCACTCCAAAAAATCCAAGAGAAAGTTCTATTGTCACTTAAGGACTAGCTAGGAAATTTTACATACCACTATTTCCACTGCATTCTATCGGCTGAAGCAATTATAAGCCTGTCCAGATTTCACGGAAAGTGATACAAACCTCACCTCTCCCTAAGGGAGTGTCAAAAAGTTTGTGGCCATTTAAAAATCTTATACAGGTGGTTTCAAGGTGTTTATATCTAATTCAGTATATGTTTTGTTGGACCAATCTCTGATTATCTTTAAGATTTATGTGATGAAGCTTATAAGTACATGTATGTATGCATTTTAAACACTTGAGATCAGTATTATTCTTTTATCTGTTGAATTTCTTTATGAATGTGTACATTCAGAGACAGAGAATCTCTTTTTCCTCTAAAGATCCAAGGACTAACAAGGCCTTGTGTTAGTCAAGGAGAATAGAATATTGATATGGTTTGGATGTTTTGTCCCCTCCAAGTCTCCTGTCGAAATGTGACCTCTATGTTAGAGGTGGGCCTAGTGGGAGGTGTCTGGGTCATGGTGGGGAATCCCTTGTGAATTGCTTGGTGCTATCCTCATGGTAATGAGCGAGATCTCACTCTAGGAGATCTGGCTGTTTAAGAGAGCCTGGCACCTTCTCCTTCTCTCTCTTGCTCCCTCTCTCACCATGTGACATGCCTGCTCCTCCTTTGCCTTCTGCCATGATTGTAAACTTCCTGAGGCCCTTACCAGAAACAGATACTGGCATCAGACTTCCTATACAGCCTGCAGAACCATGAGCCAAAATTAACCTATTTTCTTTATAAATTACTCAAGCTCAGGTATTCCTTTATAGCGATGCAAATGGACAAACACTAATATGTAAATGTGATTTACATTTATTATTAGGTAAGAGAATTATAGGGATGAAATTGGGTGAGAGGAAGACATAGAGAGGAGAATAAATGTAGGAATAGATAAGTGTCAAAGTAGAATGAAAATAAAAGGAGAAAACAAAAGGAGGCCAAGGAAAAGCAGGTGGAAAAGAAATGAGGGAGGGAGATACAGTGGGAGGAAGAGGAAGATCAAGATAGGAGAAGGTGTCAGAAGAAGAAGAGCTCTCTGGGTAATTAGGTGAGTGTCAAAGAAATGATAGCAATGCCATTTGGACTGTGAGATATTTAATTCTACTCTTTTTGCCTCCAAATAATCATATTGCTTTACTTGTCAATATTTTAATAATTCCACTCTGGAATGGGAAACCAGAGAATATATAATAGTGTAAACACTTTTCTTATGGTTAGGCTGTATTCTAAGGTAGTGTTTCCCAAATTTTAATGTGCAAATGAATCACCATGGAGTCTTTTTAAAATAAGAATTTTGATTCAGTAAGCCTGGGGAAGAGCCTTCGATTCTGTCTGTAATTTTCCAGTCATATCACTTTGTTATTCCTTGACTCATACTTTGAGTAGCATGGTACTCAGAGCAAGATGAATGGGAAGAGAAGGCTGACCGTAAGGAAGCATGGCCCTGTGAAAGATCACCAGTGGAGGGTCATGGTCTCTGGACTCAGAGTCCAGAGTATGCATCCAATTGTCTTTGTGCCATCTAACCATAACTCCCACATGCTGTTGCTGTTGCAAAAGAGTAGATAGTAATATTTACCTCACTGAATTCTTAGGATTTCATGGGCATTCTATTTATGGGATACTGGGTCTCAAGAATATTTGATAACTTATGAATCCCCTGTCTTTTTTAAAAAAAATTATTTGCTAGATTTGGGGGGAACAGGTGGTATTTGGTTACATGAGTAAGTTATTTAGTGATGAACTATGAAATTTTGGTGCACCCATCACCTGAGCAGTATATGCTGAACCCAATTTATAATCTTTTATCCCTCACTCCTTTCCCGCCCTTTCCCCAGAGTCCTGAAAGTCCATTGTGTCATTCTTCTGCCTTTGCATCCTCATAGCTTAGCTCCCACTTATGAGTGAGAACATATGATGTTCAATTTTTCATTCCTGAGTTACTTCACTTAGGATAATAGTCTCCAATCCCATCCAAGTTGCTGTGAATGCCACTAATTCATTTCTTTTTATGGCTGAGTAGTATTCCATCATATATATATATATATATATATATATATATATGTGTGTATATATATATATATATATATATGTGTATATATATGTGTATATATATGTGTATATATGTATATATATGTGTATATATATATGTATATATATATGTGTATATATATGTGTATATATATGTATATATATATGTGTATATATGTATATATATGTGTGTATATATATATACACATATATACACACACACACATATATATACACACACACATATATATGTGTGTGTATATGTATGTATATATGTATATATATTTTCATCATATATATGTATATATATATATTCCATCATATATATGTATACATATATTCCATCATATATATGTATACATATATTCCATCATATATATGTATACATATATTCCATCATATATATGTATATATATTCCATCATATATATGTATATATATATTCCATCATATATGTATATATATATTCCATCATATATATGTATATATATATTCCATCATATATATGTATATATATATTCCATCATATATATGTATATATATATTCCATCATATATATGTATATATATATTCCATCATATATATGTATATATATATTCCATCATATATATGTATATATATATTCCATCATATATATGTATATATATATTCCATCATATATATGTATATATATATTCCATCATATATATGTATATATATATTCCATCATATATATGTGTGTGTATATATGTACATCCATATATATATATAGAGAGAGACACACACACACATACCACGCAGTTTCTTTATCCACTCATTGATTGATGGGCATTTAGGTTGGTTCCACATTTTTGCAGTTGTGAATTGTGCTACTATAAACATGCATGTACCAGTATCTTTTTTGCATAACTTCTTTTCCTCTGTGAATCCCCTGTCTATGAAGACCTAGCATAGTACTCTCAAGAAGCCTTGGTTTTAGAGAGCAAAACCCAAGTATAGGTGTTCATTTTTGTTTTGGTGGGGGAAAAATAGAACCCTCAAAACAATGGAAAGCAGGGGCTTGCCTGCCTGTATAGTGGAGGAGGAGGAAATGAACAATATAATTTGTTCTCATAATTTAGTTTAACATAACTGGATAGGAAAAAAATATCTTTCAAAAACCACTATGTTGACAAAATATTGGTGAGCCTATTTGGAAAGTTACAGTTGATAAACAGTCCAGGTCTTAAAATTCAATTCTAACTAAGAGGACTAAAATGCAGTTGAAACCATGTCACTATCCTCTTTACATTTTTTTAAATAATGATCCCTTTGTGGATTAGGTTCATACCTTGGTATAAACTTGTAAATCATCTTTGATGAAGTGGCAAGTATCTACTTTACATCTTCGACCCCACTGAAATGTGTGCCACTTTTACTAGAGTGAATTTCTCCTGCTTCATGGTAGTGACTTCTTCCAAGCATACACACACAAATGCATACATGTACACACACACACATTTAAATATATGACCCTTTACCTGACCAGTGACTACGTCTTAAAGTCTGTCAAGTGTCAGCTCAAAATTACTTTGCAGACCTTATATCTGCCACATAATACCCCTTTCTGAGCATACCTCTATCATATTGTAAATAAACAGTCTTTTATACATTATTTTGCCCTTTTGACTGTGTAAGTATTCATGTTTCGTACATATCACATTTCCTGGCACATGTAACCTGAGAAAATCTGTCTTCTGAAACTCAAGAAAGACCACATATCTTTGAATTCCACATTAAGGAAAACTGGCGGTTCACTAGATTTTGAACTAAAAGTCTTACATCTCTTTGGAAAATTTTTATACCCAATAAAAATTTGAAGCGTGGATATTCCAATCCTTCCATGAAATACAGCATTAATCTGAAAGGATCTTCTATTGAGGTGATAATTATCTGGCTTTTCAGTCTACTGACAAGTAGGTATCTACTGAGTTAGTGTCCAGTTGAGTGAAAGAATATGGTGTCATCATTACTGACAAATGCTGGAATGTCTGCAATCATAAGGCTCTCTAATTAAAAATATATATATATAAGTAAGACATATCCTCAAGGATATACCTAGAGATTTCATATGGCCGATTTCATAACTATCTCCAAATCACTGGCCTAGACTGGTAAGCAGTAAAGAATGTATTTAACAGGGTATCTGATAGAATAGTTTCATCAGTATAGTGAGTGAATTTCCTGCGTATGAATATATTCTGTTGATGTCAGCCAAATTGTTTGTTTTTCAAGTACCATTTTTGAAAGATCATTTGACACACTGTTTATAATTGGAGAGCCTAACAATTTTTTCCTGAATATTGGTGCTGGGCCCTGAATAGAAAATGATGTTGATTCTAAATTGACTTCCAGTTGAGAGATCTCATTTATCAGGTAAGGAAAGAGGGCACTATGCTGCTCCCGCTCCTGTGACTTAAAAAGTGGTGGTTGGGGTTTCCAAGGGGGATGGGAAAGTTAAAAGTTAAGTTTACTTTTTAAATCATGTGGTGGTTCAAAATGATAAAGTATAGTTCTTACCTCTAATTTTCATAAATGGAAAGTGATGAATACTTGTTTTAGAAACTTGGACAAGCATTATTTAGCTTAGTTGGCTACCACTAAGTTTGATCCTTGTAGACTTTGGCAGAAGGTAGCAAGTGTGACAGAGGCTGTTTCTCTGAAATGATAAAGGAACATTAGAACATTTGGGTCCTATTATTTCCTTTTAAGAACCTTTCAAATACAGAATTGCTGGACCCTCATCGTAGCTGATAACTCACTTAAAATTCACACAACCTGATTTAAAAATGCAAGGGCCTCAAGCACTGCATTCCAACTGTGCGTATTCTAATTATACTGAATGCATGCAGTGTGTGTCCGAAGAATGTGTCAGCTTCTGGAGAACAGGGGGTGTTTCTAAGGCTTAGCCCCAGAGTTCTCAAATTGAACATTTGGAGAGCCAAAATACGCAATGGGAAATACACACAATCTTGCTGTTTTCAATTAGGAGTGAGCTCCTGTTTCTTCGACTTCAGCAGGTGGCTATTCATCATTCAAATGAAAAATGTTTATTAACGTGAATGTAATATTTTGGAATTTTTACAATTGAGAATCAAATATTAAAAACTTTATCTTTCCTCTTCTATCAACAACTTATAATGGTCTCATCCTAACGTTTCTGTCCTCTGACCTGTTACTTAAGAGCTTTTCAAAAGTGGGCTTAACCTTCTTGCCTTTTATGTCAGTGGTCGGTTGTATAATGAGGACAGTGCTCCATTAAAGAGTGTTTTGTATTTGTATTTGTAGCACAAAAGAAGTGGCAATATAGTATTCATTCAATGATTCTGTCATTTAGAGCTATCAATTCAATGGGGTCAGGACCCAGGATATTTTAAAATTGTGAGCTTGTTTATATTTATTAATTAAATATATACTTTAACATTTGCATTTGAATGGGTTTTTCTTTTGCATTATTCTCGGAAAACATAGGCTCTGCGAATAACAAATATTAAAAATAACAGCTTGTGAATTCACTTGTGATGGTAATTTAACATATATCAAAATGGAATATTTTGTGATATTCTTTGTTTACAGACTGGCAAGTAATCACTGAAATATAAACCAAACCACACATTCGCATAATATGAAAATTATACAATTCTCTAATGATGTTGTTATTTACAGTATCAAATGGAAAGCCAAGGAGAAAGTGAGTGCCTATGGGTACTCAGTGCTGGGCTTAGTTGATTCACACATAGTATATTCAGTTATTTCCAGGTGGAGTCCAAGCAAAATCAAACAACGTGTCTAAGGTCACTTAGCCTGTAAATGTTAGAGTTGGGGCCTGTTTAATTCAAAATGTGACTTTTAAACCTGGCTGCATTGTTTCCAATTTTCAATCCATCTTTTGTTAATTTACTTTTGGCTTTACCTTAAAATTTCTTTGGAGAATTTTTTTTTAAAACATTTTGATTCTTCACAGAAATATCTAGCTCTTCTTTAGTTAGGTATCCCTTTAAGAATGTTGTGGGACTGAACTAAGAACTGTGGGAGTATTTTCTTTGTAAAAAGAATCAGTAAAGAATGTCCCTTTTGCGTCCTAGCTGCTTGTGGGATATTCCCTAAACAGAATAGTTTCCAGATATGCATGAACAAAACCCAGGATTCTGTACTTAGATCTACATTTTTAAAAGTGTTGATGAAAATCTAGATACTATGTACCTAAAGTAAAGGGCAGAACATTAGCTGCCTGCAAACACAGTGATTGCTTTCTTCCTTAGGAAGCTAAGGATTTCTCAGCATGAGATTTTATTTATAAACAGTGCTGTCTCTCTTACAGGAGGTTCAAAATAAGGTCATCTTTTTGACTGTCCAGATTGAAGCACTAAAATAATTATTGCTCTGTTAACATGCTAGACAAACAGCAAAGCCATTTTGGATCTGAGCCTTTATTTGCTGAATTAGAAAGACATAAAGTGAATATTGACCCAAGAGAAATGCTCACTAAATGAAAAAGGAAAATTGTGCAATGCCCGTAAGATGAAATTCAGATCACTTCTGAAGAAACCACTTGAAGGATTCTATAGAAATCGTTCTGCGTAATTTGTTTTGAAGCTACTAAACTTGATCTGTCAGTGACTATTTTCTATAGCTCATGTGTAATGAAGACTTGCAGTCAGATGACTGAGCATTATTTATTCAAATGATTGTACAAGAAAAACAGATTGCTTTCCATAGTGACCTGGGAGGCCAAAAACATTGAAGATCTGGGCAGTGCATTAATCATAAAATTTAAAAAGAAAAAATAAATATGAAACAAATTGGTTCATGGAGTTAGTTGTAAAACCTGGTCGCTGTGCTGAGTTACTGATTACAGGTATCACGGTCTCTATGAGAGGGTAGATGATTGCACTAGACTGGTGGTCTCTGTGGGTGATAAAGGCAAAGTGTTTAAAAGGTTGCTCTGACTGTGGAGTCTGTCTGCTTGAGGAGGTTGTGTGTGGGTGTGTGTGTGCAGGCACACATGGTCTCAGCTGTGCATCTGCAGGCATTCATGTGGAGGATGCTATTGTTTAACCCAGAATTGCCTAGAATTGCCATGTTGCAATCAGAACATTTGTATTATTTTAACAATGGTTTATTATGATATTTTGCCCATCAGTAATTTTTAAAAGAGGGTGAATGTGTTCAAGAATTAGTTTGTGAACCTTTTTTCCTTTATGTTGCTTTATAAGCCCTGAATGTCTATAAAAATTCCAGTGTGTCCCTGATTATGCTTCCTTTTAAAATAAAGTCCTTTGTTTAATTTTGCGATTCAGTGTGTAAGGAGAGAGTGAATAGAATGAGAACTTAACTTGAACTCTGTCTCTATTCAAACTTAAAAGTCAGTATGTTATTCAGATAGAACAGAAAACAGGCTAATATCATAGTCAGGATCTAGCAAAGCATCCAGTGCCTCACTAATAGACCTTAGTGAATTGAATGTTAGTGGAACCATGGTCACTGAGTACCTAACCCACATACCAAGAGCTGTGTACTCTGAGTTACCACGGAATTCTGGCTGCTGTTCATTCTCCTTCCTTTAGATTGATATCTTTCTGACAGTCTTAAGATGTCTATCTTAGCTGTCTTCTCAATCTACACAATCTACCTTAGAGAATACAAGAACACAGTCATGTATTTAATTATCCTCAGTGTTACCCTAAAATCTATTGTGAACATGTAAAAATTCATTATATTTACCCTAACTTCTATTCTGAAGTTCAATGTATCTCCTGTAATTATAAAGTCTCTTGAACATTTCTAAGCATACTACACTCGAATTTCAAACTCAGTGTGTTCAAAGCTGACTTCATCTTTTCCCATTTCTCTCCATCACTGTTAATGACTTCCAGAGTTTAAGCTAGAAAGCTGCATCATCTTAACCTCATTCCCCCATTACATCTCATCCTACACAATCAGTGGGTTTGCTGAGTACAACTCATTCCACCTCATCTGTGCCTCTTTCCTTGTTGATGTTGTCTCAATTCAAGCTCTGATAACATTTGAAGACTATGGCAATTACATGTTAACTGCTATTCCTTTTCTCCCTTCCCTTTCTTTACCTTTTTATTGTTGAAAATATTCTACTATTCCCTCCACAGGATTGTCTTGTGGTTCCTTAGCGTGTTATACAAGGCCATTCAGCATCTGGCCCTAATTGGTTTGTCTTCCCCATTATCCATATTCCCAGGAGATGCTGTGTTCCCAACCATACTGATCTGCTTATTATTCAATGAAAACACCTTTACTTGGTTGACTTCCTGCCATTCTCTTGTGTTATTAGTTGATTTTACCTGGAATTCCCTTCTCACTTTTCCTGTCAGCTAGGAGAGCACGTACTCATCCTTAAGTTTCTTTTCTCTGACACGGAGTAAATATTTATTGAATAATTAAAAATGTTTGGTCTCATCTATTCACTGAAGCCTTCTCAGAACACTTGGTACACACCTTTGTTACAACAGCATTTCATAGATTCTATTTTAATTACAGAATGTATGTGCTTTTTTCTGCTTAGCCTGTGAGTTCCTTTAAGGCTAGTGCCAAAGTTTATTAATCTTTTCCTAGCACATAGCCTGGTGCCTGCACATAGTAGGCATTAAATAAATATTCACTGAGTCAGACCACCCGGGTAGTAGCCAGAAAGTATTGCCTCTAGATTGGTGGTATGAATGAACCTTATTTCCAGGGGTAATATGGGGTGTCCTTATGATTCTGTATCCATTGTGTTTAGGGCGGATATGCCTCACCTTCTCATTGTGGAGGCTGAGTTTATAGTGGCTGAATCTTTTTGGAGAGACTTTCATATTAGAAATAACTGGCACTCTCTGTGGACCAACATCTTTTGAGACTTGAATGTCTGTGACAGTCTACAAAGTAATATCAATACCTTGAGGGCAAACTTCAGGGACTCTGCTTTTGTGTCCTTCATGGAGTTGAATTCGTACTGTTGGTTCAGGTCAATAGTGTTTCATTGTTGTTGTTTTTACTTTTCATCTGGAAATAATTTCAAATTTACAGAAAATTTGCCAACAATAAAAACACAAAGAACATTCCTCTAGCTTTTACCTAGATTCATCTAAACATTTTACCCCATTTGCTTTATTTTATTTTATTTTATTTTATGTTATTTTATTTTATTTTATTTTTTGAGACGGAGTCTCACTCTGTCGCCCAGGCTGGAGTGCAGTGGCGCAATCTCGGCTCACTGCAAGCTCTGCCTGCCGGGTTCATGCCATTCTCCTTCCTCAGCCTCCCGAGTAGCTGGGACTACAGGCGCCCGCCACCACGCCCGGGTAATTTTTTGTATTTTTAGTAGGGACGGGGTTTCACTGCGTTAGCCAGGATGGTCTCGATCTCCTGACCTCGTGATCCGCCTGCCTCGGCCTCCCAAAGTGCTGGGATTACAGGCATGAGCCACCGCGCCCGGCCCCCATTTGCTTTATTATTTATGTGCTCTCTCTCTTTCTGTCTCAGACTTTTTTTAATTCCTGAACTGTCTGAGGATATTACGCACCATGGCCCTTTGCACCTCTCCACACCAGTATGTATTTCCTAAGGATCAGGTATTGTTTTATATAACCACAGTGCAATGATCAATATCAATAAATTTGTCATTGATAAAGTACCTTAACCTACCATTTATATTTCAGTTTTATCAATTGAGCCAATAACTTCCTTTAGATTATATTTTTCCTTCCAGTACAGGATACAGCCTTGGGTCAGACACTGCATTTTGTTGTTGTCTCCCTATTTTCCTTTAATGCAGACATTTACACAGCCTTTCTTTGTATTTTCTGACATTGACTTTTTGAAGAATACAGTGTACCCCCACCCCCTTTTAATAAGAAATTTCTTATTTTGGGATTTGATAGGTCAGTAGATTTTGCTTATTTTTCTTAAACTAACTGGTAGTTAGACTTAAAGTACTAATGGGTTATTACTATATCTAGTATATCTACTATATACATTAAAGTTATTACTTAATTTTCTTAGAGTAAATTGATAGTATTTATGAAACTTCACCTAGAAATAGAACATCATTTTAAAAAAAGTTTACATCTAAGAGGAACAGATTGAATATGCCAATATTTTGTAAATAACTAGACTCTTTCTGATACTGCAAGGAGAAATAAAATAACTATTAGTGACTTTCCATTGATATTGAAACCAAACAAAATAGTTGTACTGGAGCATAGGTGAACTTTTCTTTTTTTTTTTTTTCAAATGAAGTATTCTTTTCAGTTTTGAAATGTTAAATGCCAAGAAGATTGAATTCTCTTTCAGACCCATATTTTGACCAATTAATTGATATTAAGTCTTTGAATAAAGGCTTTTGTTGTTATTTTGAGGAAAGTGCACAATTTTGACTACAGGTACTTAAAAATTAATTCCTTACAGAATGAAAACCTGAAGGTATTAAAACACAATACATGAATATTTAATAGATAGCAAATATTTAGACTGGTTAAACAAGAAAGAAAATTAGCATCAAATTAAATAAACTGCTGTGGATATTTATCCCCAGTATTGGAGAGAATTGTGTGGTATGGTGTTTCTGTTTGTTGTTGTTTGTCATCTGTTCTGCCATCTCAGCTAAACTCATGAATTGAGAAGCAGCCTGGGCTTATTTCCACAACATTCAGACCTTACTGTGCATTTACACTTGCTTACAATATGCTTCTCTTTTCTTTCCAAGCATGGTCATCTTTCATTTTCACACCATAGGGTGCTCAGTACAGCCACCAAACACAGTGCAGTCAAATTGTCATAGGCAGCAAGGTAGAAGAAATACTGTCAAATGCCATTTTTTTTTACAACTTTAATTTGTTTTTCTCTCTTCATTGTTTATGATAACCTCCTAAAAACTTGAAAATAGCATTTCCTTCCCTGCTGTTTTTGTCATTTGTGTTTGGAAGACAAATCTTTTTTAAATGAAAAAATAGTTGCCTTTAACTGAGAAGAAAAAAATGGCAAAGCTATACAATTTTATTTTCCTTTGTAATCACAATGTTTTCTTTTCTTTCTTTATTGGATTTTTGGGTGGAATTTATAAGAAGAATTAGGGAAGCAGTGGCTGGCAGAGGCAGAATAAGGCACTTGTGAGCATGACTCTGGAGTCTTGCTGCTTGGGTTCAAATCCTGGCCTAGAAGTTTATAAGCCTAGTGATCTCCCGCAGGTTACCTCATCTCTCTGTCCTCTATATTCTCGTCTGTAAAATGGAGATTACATAATGATATCTAACCATAAAGTTAGAGGTCACGAGGATTTATTGAGTCAATACTTAAAGATACTTAAAACTGTGTCTATAATATAGCAAATGGTATGTATTTGTTAAATAAAAATAAATCTCCTCCTTCCTCTTAATCTTATTATAGTCTTCATTTTTCCCTTGTGGTATGAGTTAGTGAAAACTAATGTTCACAGCTTTTCAGAGGGTCGTCTTCAGAGAGATAGGGGACCTTTCACTGAAGAAATCTGGATCTTTTTTGAAATCTTTTCAAAAGTCAAAATGTGTCAGTTTGTCACACATCCTTGTGCTTGGCTTAGTTGGGAGAAGGCATTATTAAAAGGTTACATATATTTATGTGCCAATGGGCCCCTGATCACTCACAGCATGCCCTCATTTTGATTTGGCAGAAGCCCACTGTAGTTCTTGTGAAGAACATTTATGTTAGTTCAAAATTTCACAGATATCAGATATGTAAACTTGAAAGAAACATACTTTCAAAGATGACCCAAGGAAGCATGTCCTCAACCTTGCAAAAATGCTGAAGCCAACATAAAAAGTAAAGTATATAAATATATATTTGGAAAAATTAATTGTAATCCTTCAGGCCTTAATATGTCATCTTTATCTAAATGTATTTAAAATGAATCATTTTGGGAGCCTAGTATGTCCCTAAATACTGCAAATATAGATAGTTTATATGTATTTTCTGCTGAAGGCAGCAACAGAGAAAATATGGTCTCTTAGAATTCCAGGAATTTGAGGACATTTCAATATGTGGGAACCATTTTTTACTAATCATAGGGTCACATAAAATAGATTATTTACACTATTGAGGACACAATATCCTGGATGACAGCTTTTACAATCCATTGAAATATAAAACTGTCAGCAAAGCTAAAGACACCCTGAAACCAAAGAGGTGCAAAGTCAGAGTAAATGTGAACTTCTGGTGATTTGTCATGATATGGCTGAGGTTATATTTTAAGAGAAAAAGTCACCTAGCACTTAAGGATAATAGAAAATTAAAAGAAGTTCATATGTTGGACTTCATATGATGAGAACTTGAAAAGCAAATAACTCTCCAGTTTATTTAAATGTTACATTTATGGTAACGTTTTTTCTCTTAACTGTGATAACAATAGATTTAAATAACAATAAAACATTTTTAAAAACAATGAAATCATCTCCCTACCACCATGTGTCTGTTGTCATTCCTGAATGTGTGGCACATAGTTATTTGCTTTTTTGGGCATTGTTGGTAGCTCAGGAAGCTTGGTTTTCTTTCTGTACTGATTTCCCAAAACTACTGATAAAAAGCTTCTAAGAAGAGTTTTAATGAGCTATTGACACAACTAAGCTGTTATTTATTTATTTATTTACTGAGATGGAGGCTCTTGGTCTTGCTCTGTTGCCCAGGCTGGATTGCAGTGGCAAGATCTCGGCTCACTGCAACCTCCAACTCCCTGGTTCAAGTGACTCTTCTGCCTCAGTCTCCTGAGTAGCTGGGATTACAGGCATGTGCCACGACACCCAGCTAATTTTTGTATTTTTAGTAGAGATGGGGTTTCACCATGTTGGCCAGGATGGTCTCGATCTCCTGACTTTGTGATCCGCCCACCTCGGCCTCCCAAAGTGATGGGATTACAGGTGTGAGCCACCGCGCCCGGCCTGATATGACTAAGTTGTTTATCAAAATGCTCCCTTTGCTTATACCTATATTGAAGGTAGCAAGAATGTCTTAAGCTAATAAAGAAATGAGTATTATTAATATGTCAAGAAGAGGTACCACATTTAAACTGGTCGACATAAATGCCATTATAATTTCTGTAGTTTACTGGAAAATAAACATGGGGCTGGAATTGCGCTATTTGAGAAACACAGTTGGAAGTGTTTCATGGACTATGCATCTACTTAGACTTTTAAAGTATATACATTCTTAATAGTCACTTAGGAAAAACCTTGAGACTGGGAGACATGTTCCACTATCCAGAAAGGGTGGATGTTACAAGATGTGTTAAGCTGAATCCTTAGTGAATGTTCCATTGCATAGTACTGTAAATTGTTCCAGGATCTTATAACGGTTAGACTACTATCAATAAATTTCTCCCACATTTTGTTTTGTTTTTTCATGAGTTTGTGCCAAAGGCATGTATTTTATACCTAGATTTTCCCTCTCACTGTCATGTTTTCCATCTTGCTCTCAACAATTTCCCTCTAGGGACATTTTGATCGTCTGGAATGGAGAGGTGAGAATATGCTGGAAGGATATAAATCATGAGACTCTGCAGTATTCATGTTAACTATGATTTACTAGAGGAATAGAAAGAAATAACTAATTATCTTATGTTTAGTTTGTCTTAAGTAATTTAGATGTTTCTAATGGTAGTCTTGCCATGACAAGATTAATTCTTTACTGTTGTAGTGTGCAGTCAACTGTGGAATTTTTTTTCCTTGATGATTATAAGGTCGTTTGATGCACTTTTTTAAGAAGGCTTTTCATGTTAAAGTCAGTGAGAAACCTCTCAAATAGATCTGAATTAACCAGGGCACTTGGAGCCGCAGTTGATTTTAATGACACAATTTAGAAAATGAGAATCAACACAAAACACTTTGGGTTTGTTCATCTATGTTAATACGTGCATTCTGTCATCTTCCTTTAGACTGGCACTTATTTAAATATTAAACCATCCTTTACACTGTGTATATGGTGATACAGTTCAAGTTGGCTCTTTCCTATATTTTGCTTAGTCATTAAAAATTTTGCATACAGCTAATTAAATTGCATAAAATATAATTAGCTTAGTTTCGAGTGCTAAGGAATCAATGAGAGAAGAGAACAGATTCAAGGTTTTTGTAGTGAGTAGATACAAAGCTGTATTTGTGTCGGTGCCAGCAATGGAGGCAGCAGGGAATCATGGAGACAGGGCAAGCAGCCAGCCTGGGATCCGAGCCTAAGCTGAGTGGAGAGGGTTTTGCATATACCTTTGAAAAAGTGCATCAAAGTCAGCTGTGCAGACTGCAGTTGGAGCACATGCAGGCATAAGAGGTTAGCTATTCAGAACTTTCAGGTGCCCAGACAGGGCAGGGAAAAAGCCCAGTTCCTTAGTATACTGATGTAGTCAGGATCCTAAGAATCCATAAGAACTTGAGACTGTTGGAACAGAACTAGGGCACCACTAGCAAGAAGACATTGATAGTCAGCCAGCACTGCGCTCCTGCCTTGGGAGGTTCTTAAGTGCTTTTTGTTAGACTCCAGGCTGAAACTTGGAAAGAGGAAGATGCAGTAATTTGCCACACCTGGCAAATGCTGACCCAGTGTTGTTGCCATACCTACACCTGACTGGGGTTGGCAATGATTAATTATGTAGTGGGACAGACAATACAGTCAGGTGAGGTCGTGAGCAAAATAACTGTTTTATTTGTGGTTCCTTCTCTAATACCTTGATATTTTAACTTTAAAATGAAGCTGCAAGGGAATTTAGCTAGTAAAGAGAAAATAAAAAGTCAGGTTGGAGAGAAGTCTGCACATATCCATTCATTAATTCAGTCTTTCATTCAACAAATATATTTTGAATACCTTAGTATGTAATTACCCAAAGTAAATGAATATTCATTCATCTTTGAAATTCAAATTCCATTTTGCTAATGAACAGCCCAATGTTTACCCAGAGGTACAGAGGTAGCAGTGGCAAAACTAATTTGATCCCTAACTTTTTTGTTGTTTATACAGTTCAGGTCTCTGCAGAGTCCTGGCTGGAACCAAAAGGTGGGTTGATCTTGGCTATGAACATCGTCTGACAGAGCAAGAAATGGTAGATATAGTAATTGGATGTGTAATGTACATTCAGAGTCAGTGTTCACTTAACAGGTCAGAGTGCAAGCATGCTGACATTGTTGATATTAATTGCTAATATCTATTGAGTGTTTCAAATGTGCTAGGCCTTGTGGTATTTAGCAAGTTTCTTCCATTACCTCATCTAACAGTTTAAGTAGAAATAGGTGCTCTTTGGGTAGTGTCTGTCTCTGTGGCCCTGCAGATTTGGCCTCACCCTCTCCCTAGAACTATAATGAGAATAATCTCATTTGGGCATCTACTCACAATACAAAGTCCTAAAGAGCAGCATAAAATTCTTATCTGGCTCAGGTGCTCTGGGAAGTCAGCCTGAAGAATTCAGATTTTCCCTATTATATTTGTGATGTTTCACCATCTGATGGGCAAGATGTTTTGTCTTTTGTATATAAAATTTAAGTAACTGTACCAGCATCAAATATGTACTTCCAGTTGTAAATGTATGTAGATCAGTTTTCATATTCAAGAATTTAACATTTTAAAGTTGATTTTGGGCTTTCCCACATACAATTGTCTCCTCTTTTTATAAATAAAGATATGCTTTTGCATAGACACTTAAGTTTCCAGAGTATTTTTGTGGTTTCTAGAATGCATATTTTCATTTTATCTTAAATAGATGAGAGAAGTCTTTTGTTGTTGTTTTTTTGAGACAGAGTTTCGCTCCTGTTGCCCAGGATGGAGTGCAATGGCATGATCTCAGCTCACTGCAACCTCCACCTCCCAGGTTCAAGCAATTCTCCTGCCTCAGCCTCCTGAGTAGCTGGGATCACAGGCATGTGACACCATGCCTGGCTAATTTTTTGTATTTTTAGTAGAGACTAGGGTTTCGCCATGTAGGCCGGCTGGTCAAGAACTCCTGACCTGAGGTGATCCACCTGCCTTGGCCTCCCAAAGTGCTGGGATAACAGGTGTGAACCATGATGCCTGGCTAGATTAGATATGTTTTAACAAAAAATATAACTGATATGGTTTGGCTCTGTGTCCCCACCCAAATCTCATCTCGAATTGTAATTCCCATGTGTGGAGGGAAGGAAGTGATTGGATCATGGGGCCAGTTTCCCCTCTGCTGTTCTCCTGATAGTGAGTGAGTTCTCACAAGATCTGATGGTTTTATACATGGTACTTTTTCCTGTGCTCTCACTTCTTCTCCTGCCTCCTTGTGAAGAAGTGCCTGCTTCCCCTTCACCTTCCACCATGATTGTAGGTTTCCTGAGGCCTCCCTAGACATGCAGAAGCTCTTTCCTTTGTAAATTACCCAAGTCTGGGTATTTCTTTATAGCAGTGTGAAAACGAACTAATACGATAACTGAACGCTTTCCTCCTGAGAGGAGGAATAACATGGTGAACATAGTGTTTGCAGATTTTGTATTCAAGCAAGTTATTTTAAGGATTGCTCTTTTACATATTAACGTCAAATTATATTCAATTTAGTGTTCCGGTTATATCTAGGTATAGGTAATTTTGCTAATGATTTCCTGTATGTTGTATGTGTCCTTTTAATAGGGCTTCGGTCTTTCTTTTAGCGGTGATAATTATAATATGGAGTTGTAAGACATAATACAAAGATATCCCTTGTAACTCTGCATGGTTTTTCTCAATGACATTTTGCAAAACTCTAGTTTAGTATCATAGCTAAGATATCGATATGGGCACACAATCCAGATTTCCCAAGTTTTATGTGTTCTCTTTGGGTTTGGGGGTGTGTGTGTATGTGTATGTGTATTTAGTTATATGAAATAAAAATATGAAACACATAACAAATTTGTATGTCATCCTTGTGTAGGTATGATGCTAATCTCACTATTGTCCAATTTTAGTACATGTGCTAAAGAAGTGGGCAGAGGCCTGGGGTTTCTTATGCATCGGGACTGGCTTCATTACTCAGTGATGAGAGCAATTGTTTGGGGTGTTATGCTCTGAATTTACTGTCTTGAAATCCTTGATTTTATATTTGTATTTATGTTTTATAAGTGAAGTCTGGTGGGATAATGGAACATGCCCAAGACTTGAAGTCTTGGTTCAGGTGACCACTTGTGCTGTTGTCCACTTCTGGCTTCCCCACCACTGAGGACCCCAAGCCCAACCTGGCCTCTTCTTCCCTGCTCCTGCGCAACAACTGCTGCTATCCTCAGCCCCTGGCAGAGAGGGTCAGGGTCTGACGCAGGAGCCCCACAGGTCTTAGAACAGGGCATAGATGTGGCCGCCCCTTCTAGGAGTGCCACTGTGGTGCCTCAGTGGGGCAAACTTCTCACTCCTGAACTAGATGCTTAATGCATCCTTATGTAGGGACTGTAGTGCTTCTGGGGGTCATCCTTCTGCCTGTGGGCTCGAGCAGTAGAGTTGTGTGTGGGAAGGGAGATGTCCAGCTCACCTCTCCTAGGTGGTGCACAGAGCATTGCTCTGGCAGCTGGAAGGAGAGAGAACTCAGCCGCTAGCCAGTGGGCAGTTTGTGTGAGCTGTGGGTGCGCATGTGGGGGTAGAACCCTGGAAGGTCTGCATTTATTGTGCAGATATCCCTGTGCCTGAAGGATGTCAAGTAGCAAATAACACCATGGCAGGTTGAGGGGAAGCTGCGGAAGAAAGGAAAACACTTGATATTTTAGTACCTTTAATGGCACTTTTCCTCTGCTTTATGAACAAGGGGCCCTGCAAATTATGTAGCCCATTCTGATAAGCATAGTGTTATCTTCAGCAATCATTTACTATACACAGTGCCCACTTGTTTTCACTGCATCATCCTATATTTGCTTCAAATCTCAGTGACATAATAAGAAGATATTCAGTGAGACTGTGTGGAGACTAGAGCAGCACAAAACCCATAATGATATAAATATGTGGTGGAAAATTACAATAAAACCCTTGCATCTTCCACTTTAATTTTGCCTCAAGGAAATGGCAAACTGCCCAGCTGGCAATAACCAGTTCCAAATGAGCTGCCAAAACTACTAGGTGCTGAAATACATAGTTTGTTGCACTTCCCCACTTTGGTGCCTGACTGTAGGTTTTGAGGTTGGCATTTTAAAGCCAGAGCAGGTGCCTGCCACCTGGAAGCATTTTCTTAAGTGCCAAGCTAATGTCACCACAATAAGACCAATGAAGTGTATTTTTAAATAACATTGAAACTGCTTTACATGTGTATACATATCTATTGAAATAAATCCTAAATAGGCCTAAAATGTTTTCATCTGGAATTCAAAGGGATATGATTTGTGTCTTGGAACAATGAAAGATTCTTATAAAAAGGAGCATGCTGATAGAAAACATTTAGATAAAATATTTGAAAAGTTTGTAAATGTAGATTGAAGTATTAGCATAAGAAAATTAGATTGCTTTACCTTGGAACCTGACATTAGAGGTGCTGAGGTGACAGCGAAGAATACATACAGGCACACGTCTTTATATTGCTGTTCACTTGATTGTGCTTTGCAGATTGTGCATTTTTTTTACAATTCAAGGTTTGTGGCAACATTGCATCAAGCATGTCTATTGTTGCCATTTTTCCAGTAGCACATGTTCACTTCAAGTTTCTGTGTCATGTTTTGGTAATTATCACCATTTTTCAAACTTTTATTATATTTTTATGGTGATCTGTGATGAATGATTTTTGTAATTACTATTGTAATTGTTTTGATATACCAAAAATTGTGCCCATATAAGACAGCGAACTTAAGTGTGTGTGTTCTGACTGGTTCATCCACCAGCTATTCCCTCATCTCCCTCCTTCTGTTTAGGCCTCTCTATTCCCTGATAAACAATATTGAAATTAAGCCAATTAATAACTCTACAATGACTTCTAAGGGTCAAGTGAAAGGAAGAGTCACATGTCTTTCATTGTAAATCAAAAACTATAAATGATTAAGCTTAGTAAGGTGTGGCCTCTTGTGCCAAACACTTAGCCAAATTGTGAGTGCCAAGGAAAAGTTATTGAAGGAAATTAAAAGTGCTACTCCAGTGAACACACAAATGATAAGAAAACAAAACAGCCTTAGTACTGATAGGGAGAAAGTTTTAGTGGTCTGGATAGAAGATCAAAGCAGCCACAACATACCCTTAAGCCAAATCCTAATCCAGAGTAAGGTCCTAACTCTCTTTAATTCTGTGAATGCTGAGAGAGGTGAGGAAGCTACAGAAGAAAAGTTGAAAGCTAACAGAGTTTGTTTCATAAGGTTTAAAGAAAGAAGCCATCACCATAAAATAAAAGTGCAAGGTGTAGCAGCAAGTGCTGATGTAGAAGCATCAGCAAGTTATCCAGAAGATCTAGCTAAGATCATTGATGAAGGTGGCTTCACTAAATAACAGATTTTCAATGAAGACAAAACATCCTTCTATCGGAAGAAGAAGCATCTAGGATTTTCACAGCTAGAGAGGAGAATGCCTGGCTTCAAAGCCTCCAAGCAGAGGCTGACTCCCTTGTTAGGGGCTAAAGCAGCTGGTAACTTTAAGTTGAAGCCAGTGCTCATTGACCATTCTGAAAATCCTGGGGCCTTTAAGATGTATGCTAAATCTGTTCTGTCTGTGCTCCATAAATGGAATAAAACCTGTGTGACAGCACATCTGTTTGCAGCATGGTTTCTGAATATTTTAAGCCACGGTTAAGACTTACCATTCAGATAAAAAAGATTCCTTTCAAAATATTGTTTTTCGTTGACAATGCACCTGGTCACCCAAGAGCTCTGGTGGAGATGGACAAGGAATTAAATGTTTTCATAGCTGCTAATGGAACTCCATTCTGCAGCCCATGGATCAGAGAGTAATTTCAACTTTCAAGTGTTATTGTTTAAGAAATGTATTTCATAAGGCTACAGCTGCCATTGATATAGTGATTTCTCTGATAGATCTGGGCAAAGTAAATTGAAAACATTTTGGATAGGAATCACCATTCTAAATGCCATTAAGAATCTTCATGATTCATCAGAGGTGGTTAAAACCGTAACAATAAGAGGAGTTTGGAAGAAGTTGATTCCAACACTTATGGATGACTTTGATGGGTTCAGGACTTCAGTAGTGGAGGTAACTGCAGATGTGGTTAAACTATCAAGAGAACTAGAATTAGAAGTAGAACCTGAAGGTGGTTCATGCCTGTAATTCCAGCACTTTGGGAGGCCAAGATGGGCAGATTGCCTGAGGTCAGGAGTTCGAGATCAGCCTGGCCAATATGGTGAAACTCCATCTCTACTAAAAATACAAAAATTAGCTGAGTGTGGTGGCAGGTGCCTGTAATCCCAGCTACTTGGGAAGCTGATGCAGGAGAATTGCTTGAACCCAGGAGGCAGAGGTTGTAGTGAGCTGAGACAACACTATTGTACTCCAACCTGGGCGACAAGAGCAAAACTCCCATCTCAAAAAAAAAAAAAAAAAAAAAAAAAAAAAAAAAAAAAAAAAAGTAGAGCCTGAAAGTAGGACCGAATTGCTGCAATCTAATGATTAAACTTGAATGGATGACTAGTGGCTTCTTATGGATGAACAAATAAAGTCATTTCTTTTGATAGAATCTAGAATCTACTCCTGGTGAAGATTCCGTTAACATTATTTAAATGACAACAAAGGATTTAGGGTTTTACATAAACTTAGTTGATAAAGCAGTGGCAGGATTTGAGAGGATTGACTCCAATTTTGAAAGACACTCTACTGTGGGTAAAATGCCATCAAAAAGCATCACATGCTACAGAGAAATCTTTCATGAAGAGTCAACCGATGCAGCAAACATCATTGTTGTCTTATGTTAAGAAATTGGTTGTGAGGCACGGTGGCTCACTCCTGTAACTCTAGCAGGTTGGGAGGCCAAGGCGGGCGAATCACTTGAGGCTAGGAGTTCGAGACCAGCCTGGTTAACATGGTGAAATCCCGTCTATACTAGAAATACAAAAATTAGCCAGTCTTGGTGGCACACACCTGTAATCCCAGCTACTCGGGAGGCTAAGGCATGAGAATTGCTTGAACCCAGGAGGTGGAGGTTTCAGTGAGCCGAAGATCATGCCACAGCATTCCAGCCTGGGAGATAGAGCAAGACTCTGTCTCAAAAAAAAAAGGAAAAGAAAAAAAAGAAAAGAAAAGAAATTGGGCTGGTATGGTGGCTTATGTCTGTAATCCCAGCACTTTGGAAGGCTGAGGTGGTGGATCACTTGAGCTCAAGAAGTGTGAGACCAGCCTGGACAACATGGCGAAACCTCATCTCTAGAAAAAAATACAAAAATTAGCCAGGCATGGTGGCACACACCGGTAGTCCCAGCTACTTGGGATGCTGAGGTGGGAGGATCACCTGAGCCTGGGAGGCAGAGGTTGCAGTGAGCCAAGAAATTGCCACTGCACTCCAGCCTGGGCCATGGAGTGTGACCCTGTCTCAATTTTTTTTTTTTTAAAAAAAGAGGAAATTGCTACAGCCACCTCAGCCTTCAGCAATCACCACTGTGATCAATCAACAGCCATCAATATTGAGACTAGATTCTCCACTGGCAAAGAGATTAGGACTCCCTGAAGGCTTACATCAAGAATCCCCAAACCTCAAACCATAGACACAATAGGAGTTGAGCAGTGAGCCAGTGAGCATTACCGTCTGAGCTCTGCTTTCTTGCCTTCTGTCAGATCAGCGGCATCAGATTCTCATAAGAGCCTGATGATCTGAGGTGGAACAGTTTCACCCTGAAATCATCCCCTGTCAAGAGACCACTGGAGACGATTGTCAGCATTTTTTAGCAATAAAGTATTTTTTTTTTCATTGAGGCATGTGCATTTTTTAAGACATAATGCTATTGCAGACTTAATTGACTACAGTGTAGTGTAAGCATAGCTTTTATATGCATTGAGAAACCTGAAAATTTGTGTGACTTGCCATATTGCGACAATATGGTTTTATTGGTTTTATTGTTGTGATCTGAACTGAATCCACAACATGTTCAATGTATTCCTGGCATGTTTTTATAACATTTCAATCTTTGAGACCAAAGGACCTCTCTTGTTTCAGTTGCAAAAGTATGTCTGTTTTGGTGCCTGTAAATACATTTACAAATCTGATGCCTTCAGGATGCTTACAGGCAGTCCTTTGTCTCCAGTTAAGCTTTTTCTTTTCTTTAAGTTTTCAGTAGAATATTCCAGGAATCTCTGCATACTTCAGGAGTTTGCAAGGTTAGTTTTTTGTTTTAATACTTACCTGAACAGTCGAACCATTTTCTAATGCTCATCTAACCAAACAACTACTTTATTTATTGTTCTGCCTGACCTGTAATGTAATCTGCATGATGCGCTGGCTGTTTTCTGATTCAGACTACATATTTCAGATTGGATCTACTTGTTGTATTTTTTTTTTCTCCTGCAACCTGAAGGCCAGGCAGAGAGGGTTCATTGAAATCTAGGATTTGTTAGATTGTATTTTAATCAGTTTCACAGCATACCCTCCTTCTCCCAAGCCTATTGCCCAATCTCAGAATGAGATCAAAATAAACTGAAATTGTCCTTACTCACTTTCACAAAGTTGCTAGTTAGAAGCAAAATGTCCAATCCATCCTGTAGGAAGAAGAGAGGGACCCAGCAATGGGCCCAGTTAATCTGTAAATTGCATATTTAACGTAGGAATAATCATGGCTCTTGTTATTGAGATCTTTTCAGTACATTTGGTGGAAGTAAACTGTTTGTGTCCTCCAGTGGTTGATGAGATCCGCTTCTTGCCTTGCTTTCCTCTCCTGGGCATTTATTTGCTAAGCAGATTGATCTATTTAGTGCATCTGTGTCTGGGTGGGTGATGTCTCCACTACTACAGTACACTCTTCTGTATTTATTATTTCACTAACAATTACTTCCACTTTCTCAATTTTCCCTTCTCTGGCTTGTTCTCATGCTCTTATCTTGCCATAACTTAAGTTTTCTTCTCTCCTCCTCATTGCATATTCCCCTTCATTGGCAACTTACAAGTACTTACATCACCTTGTGATGACTCACACTTTCTGTTGATAATGAAAAGTGATCATGTTCTAGAGAGCAGAGCCCATGCTCTGGAGGCAGCCTGCCAAGGGTTGAATCCTGGCTCTTGGCTCTACCACCCATCAGCTCACTAGCACTGTGAACTTGGACAAGTTTTTTAACCTCTCCTTGCCTACCTTTCCACATCTGAAAAATGCAATACTCTAGTTCCCACCTCATAGAGATGCTGTGAAGATTAAAGGAGTTATTCTACATTGTGGATTTAGAACGATTCGTGGCACGTAGTAAGTGCTCAACAACTGTTAGCCATTGTTATTACTTAATTTCATTTAGCTCAGTTGTATGACCATTCATTCAGCCTTCTATTAGCATTCTATTTTTCTGGCAACACCTATTGATATCCCAGATAATTAATTTTCTTTTTTTGTAATGCATTTAGAAAATGCTGCTCTTTGAAGTAAGTTAAGTGTTGCCTTTTTCTCTGTTATTTTGCAAGGAGGACAGCTTGAGTTGGAATATCTAGAAGTAAAAATCTCTCTGTTATGGTCAAATACCTCTTAGTATCCCTCAGCCAATGGGTGTGATTTTTACTTCTTCCCCCGACCAATCTAATGGAGTTCAACATCTTGCTACTGCAGGTGTCACCTGCTTACTATTAATAGCAGCATGGTCAATACCCAGGAGGTTGTAGAAATGCAGATCAGAGGACACACTGCAGACCAACTGTATGATAATCTATAGTCTAACAAGATATCCATGTTATTCTTAAGGCTATTAAAATTTGAGAAGCACTATACCAACATTTCTAGGTCTAGAGCACCATAATTCTGCTCTAGGGAAATAGGAAGAAACCAACCTGAATTCCATTTTAATAACACATAATATTGACTATTTCTATAATTTAGCACTTTAAGCCCTATGAGATTTCCTGGAAAACCTATGTTGGCATTCTCTTGGGTGTAATTGTTATCGATTAATGTCATGATTAAAAGTACGGCTTAGGTCTACTGGGAGTTTTAGCTCACTGAAAGGAAAAAAAAACACCTCATTGATCTGAAGCCCTCAGTCAGTCATTCTTAGCTTTTCAGAAAATACTTCAGATAAATAGCAATAATGTTAGCACTGAGAGGTTTGTCTCAGGGGATGATCTTTCTAACAATGACTTGCATTGATTAAGTTCATTGCTTTTTAACTGTTCACTTTGTTACTGTGGTAACTCTATTTTAAACATTAGGATGCATTTTTTTTTTTTTTAGTTGGATTGTGTATGGGTAAAGTAGCACAAGGAGGCATATTTGGGCTTCTTGTACTACTGGTGAATTACTTGTTGAGAGTCTAATGCTCCTGTTTTCTAAATACTGCTTTGTTGAGACAAGATTCTGGAAAAAGAAGACATTGGACATGTTCGTGGGTTAGACAGCATTAAGAAAAGTCAGGCAACTGTTATGATTCTTGGTATCAGTGTCAGCTCTCAAGAAAGGACTAAAAGTGCTAGATTTACTAGCTGGAGAACATTGCTTTTTGAACAGTTTACTCTTGGGAATCTTGTATAACAATGTTGTTAGATTGTTCTCTTGCCTTTTGCATACATTTTTTTTTTTTTTTTTAGTTTCGTTCTTGTTGCCCATACTGGAGTATAATGGCCTGATCTCGGCTCATTGCAACCTTCGCCTTCTGAGTTCAAGCAATTCTCCTGCCTCAGCCTCCCCAGTAGCTGGGATTACAGGCGCCAACCACCATGCCCGGCTAATTTTTGTATTTTTAGTAGAGATGGGGTTTTGCCATGTTGGCCAGGCTGGTTTCAAACTCCTGACCTCAGGTGATCCGCCCCCCTCGGCCTCCCAAAGTGCTGGGATTACAGGTGTGAGCCACTGCACCCGGCCGCATACATTTGTTTTTATGGGTGGTTGAAACGTTTAGAAAATCTTCAGCTCACTGCTTACTGTGGTTACAGGATAGCAAGAAAGATAAAGAGATTGGGTTTAGGCATTTTGAATTTGGCTTTAAATGAACCCAGTTGCAGATGTTAAATGGTGATATTAAGTCAGTCTAAGCATTAATATAAAATGATGTTCAAAAGTTATAGAACAGCATATAAATAATTGAAAAACAAAAGATCATTATTTTACCCCTAATTACTAGCCTTGGAGTATGGGTCAACCTTTCCACATCCCTCACCTTTCACATGCAATGAGATGCTCAGTGAATCCCAATAATTATCCTTTTCTTAGAGTCTCAAGTTCTTATCCTCTGTTTTTATTAAAACAGCTGTGTTTCCAGCTTGGATTATTTTTACCTCCTACTTAAACTGTTGCAATTCATGGGTCATTTACTCCTTCAGAGTTACCAACTATGTTTTTAACAAGTTGAGTATGCTAATATAGAGTTACAATTTTGATATTAACTAGACAAAAAAATTAAAACTTGGTGACTTCTCATTGTCAGTAAACAAAAAAATCATTTCCCAATCTGGTCAATTAAAATTCCCCAAAATGGTCATAGTTTACCTTAAAATATTCTTGCTAGACCTTCCTAAGTATGAACCTTGTGTGCCATCAAAATGAGACTGTTTATTCTAGTCCATATGTACATTGTATTTCACAATATTTGGACCTTAGCTCTGTTTTTCCCTCCATCTGGAATGGTCTACTCATAATTTCTGCCCACTGAAATACTTCTTATCCTTAATCCTTTTCCTTAAGCCTGTGGGTCCTTTCAGCCCTGAACACTCAGGTATGAACCAAATACTACCATTTGGGAGGGATATATAGAGGATAGTCTTGCATGGCTTTTGACCTGGCCTGTCTCATGTCCGGCTCATTGAAATGCAGTTTCTGGTTCTCAGATTTTAAGTTCCAGAAACTTCATTTTTAAAATAAAACCAGAGTTGCTATAGTTCCTAGAAGATAAATCCAGGCTAGTAAGCCTCACAAAATATTTTTATGGACTGGAGTGCCTGTATACTAACTTAGAGTGAGTGATGTGCTTTTCTTGGATATTGCCTTTCTGCAACAAGATGTCTGCAAAGCAGATTCAGAAACTGGAAAGTTGCTCAATTGGCTCAGAATTGAAACATAAGGAATTGGTTGGTCTTGAAGGATATTCCATCCAGGTTATGGGAAAATCTTATTGAGTCACCTGATAAGATTCTTTTCCTTGGATAATTTGATGTAAACACTGGTGGATTCCTCAGGTTCCAATCTTTTATCTGTTGCTCCAACTGACTGAATTACAGTTCTCCTTTACATCTTCCATTCTGATAGTATCATTCTAAAGATGTCACTTTGTTACCTTGTTTTAAATTTAGCAACTTCCTATCCTTGTCAATTAACTTGTAAAGTAATCCAGGTCTAGAAAACCACATTTAGATCTATCTAATCCATCTACTGTGGTGCAAAAATCTTTGGATGGCTGTTCTCATACATCATGTGTTTGCTTTTGAGCCTTTATAGTCTCATAATGTGCTTTTTATCTGAACTTACACAAGAATTATTAAATTGCCTTGTGCATTAGATGTATTGTCTTCTTCCTTTCTTAATCTATTTGTATTATGGTTATTGGCAAACTGGCCTTATTTACTATCAGGTCTAAATTTCTTAAAAGCTGGGACTATTACTTATTCTTGTTTGTTTTTTCTGTAGTCTCAAGTAGAGTCACATCTTTTTTTTTTCAGAAATGTAGCTTTACATTCTTCATTTATTTATTAATTCTCTCCTTCCCTCTTTCCCACCCTCTCTCCCTTCCTTTCTTCCTTCGCTCCTTTCTTCCTTCCTTTCACAGGCATTTATGAAACATATACTATTTGCCAGGAATGTATTAATGTCTGAGATTACAGGTATAAAAGATGTAGACCCAGGCCGGGCCTGGTGGCTCATGCCTGTAATCCCAGCACTTTGGGAGGCTGAGGCGGGTGGATCACCTGAGGTCAGGAGTTTGAGACCAGCCTGACCAACATGGAGAAACCCCGTCTCTACTAAAAATACAAAATTAGCCAGGTGTGTTGGCGCATGCCTGTGATCCCAGCTACTGGGGATGCTGAGGCAGGAGAAACGCTTGAACCTGGGAGGCGGAGGTTGCGATGAGCCGAGATTGTGCCATTGCACTCCAGCCTGGGCAACAAGAGCGAAACTCCATCTAAAAAAAAAAACACGTAGACCCTAATAGCATAGTTACTGCCACTCATTGATTGCCTTAAGCTCTTCATGTAATTCATATAAGACCACCAAAACCTAAGTGTTAATACTCCCCACTTGTTTTTTGTTTTGTTTTGTTTTTTAATAAGCATATTGAGGTTCAGAAAGAAAAAATGACTTTCTTAAAACCACACTGTTAGTGAAACAGCTGGGATTGAAGATCAAGGCGATTGCCTCAAGTGGTTCTTTTTCCCTACTGCTTATTCATGTTCATTGGAGGCAACTTTATCGTTTAAGGTACTGTGATGGCTAGCTACACGTGTCAACTTAGCCAGGCTGTGGAGGCCAGTTCTTGATTAAACACTTATCTGTGTGTTGCTGTGAAGGTTTTTTGTAGGTATGGTTAACATCCATATTCAGTAAGCTTTAAGTAGAGGCATTAGCCTTGATAATGTGGGGAGGCCTCATCAATCAGTTGAAGACCTCAAGAACAAAAACTGAAAAGAAGTTTTGCCTCAAGACTGCAGTACCAGCTCCTGCCTGAGTTTCTAGCTAGCTTGCCTGCCCTTAGATTTTGGATTTTCCAGTCTCTACAATGGCATGAGACATTTACACACACACACAAACACACACACACACACACTTGGGTCCCCTTTCTCTGGAGAACCTTGACTAATGGGCTGATACAGGTTCTGACAGTTAAATAGACAAAATATTACACTAGCATTTTTATTGCATTACTTTAAACTCTCAAATTAAAAGTGTTTTAAAGTTTAAAATGTATATACCATATAGTAATTTTATTTTAAATAGGGAGGATTGGTGCCAGGGGTCTTATCATGAAGGGACCAAGTGTGGAGCTAGAAGGAAAGGGATGAAGGACTGGACTGTTTTTCAAGGTGATTGAAAAAATAGAGGGATGTCACAACTTAAAGTTGGTCACATTATAGCTGTCCAGGGAAAGATTTATAAAATTGTTGAAGATACTCATTTCAAAAAATTCAAATAACAGAAAACACACATTTTTTTTCCTGTGATTTGACATCAGCATGTCTATGTGTAGAGTCTGTAGTGTTCACAATTTTACTTTTAGTTTTCATAAGGTAAAGCAAGTCAAATATTTTCCTGCATGTGGACTTACCAAATATGAAGACACTGAAAAGCAGAGTAGTGATTTTAGGAATTTGGATTTCAGTCGAAAATTTCATTATTAGGCCCAAAGTTATTGTGGTGAATCCATAAAAGTTTTTTTGTCAATTGCAAATCAGAGTTAACCCACCAATAAAACCCCAGGGTCTAGAACACAGGTTTTAATGAAGTAGAAGTGGACACAGGGAGGAACAGAGTGTTAAACAAATGCAAGCACGCCTCTACGCAACCAGTGCGGACTCTCCTTGGAATGGGATATCACAGCCAAGTTGATTGGAGATATACAGTTGATGCTTATTATTTGTGGAAGTTCTGTTCTGTCACATCATCTTAGTTAGCAAATACTGAACCATTTCTCCTGGGAGAAATACAGGGTGGGTTAGTTCCTGTGAGTCTCTTGTCACATTTTTCTGAACGACCTATACATAATCTCATGTGTTTCTGTTTTAAAGACACCTTTTTTAATCTACTTATGGTCAATAGCGGTCAAACCCATGCCTGAACTGAGTTTATCTAACACATGTATTTTCTCTGTGAGACACATAACAGCTTTCTTGCACTTAGGAACACTAGACGGCACTTCAGCACTATGCTTGGGGCTCCTTTTGAGCAGCACGATCACCAAGAAGAAGCACAAAATGCAAAAAATGTGGCATTAAATAGACCATGAAAAGAACACTGTTGAGAGTATTGAGAACTGAAACAAGAAGGCAGTGTAAGCTGGGAATGTGTACATTGGGTAGTTCATTTTCTTGCCACTCCGTGCATGTCTGCAAGTGACCCCGAAAGCACTGCAGTATTTATTTTGGTGTCATAAATACATTTTAGCAAGTAGATGAATTTGCAAATGAGGAATTGGCAAATAATGAGGATCAGATCTACATAAGCAGTTTGGGTCTTCCTGGAAGATGAAACTATTTGTAGTTAAATAGCTCCCCCAAAGACACTCTGTAAGAGAGTGCAGTGCTGCCGAAGGACAGTGTTTGGCTTCTGAAGATTTTATGTTCATTTGCAAGATTATTTAATAAACATTTTTAATCCTTGCTATTGCAGCCTTTTAGAAGAAAATCTGTGCTATAAATAACAAAACTTTAACAATGGCAGTATGCTTTCTTTAGGAATCCCGGAGCAATTTCAGGTGTCTGTTTTGAACCACTGGAATGATTAATAAAATCAGTGCAAATAAACAAAAAATCAAAATTCAAGCAAAGTAATTTGTTATCTTTTCCAAAATATTAGTAGGGAAGCAATTTGTTTTCTTTCACCAAGATTTACAGAGTCAGTTCATTAAAATATCACTTGTTTAACCATGTTAAAACAATTACTTGTTTAATTGAGGTTTTCACCTTTTAATGACTTTTGTCATATTGAAATTTGCCAAGAAATTAGCAAGTCTACAACTTTGATTCTTGCATACTATTTTAATACTTTTAGGTTGATGCCAATCCTTTAATTCTTTATTTGTCCAACACTTAGTATGTGCAAATTTCTTTGCTTAAGAATTCTGAATTAGCAAAGCAGGGATTTTCTTGACTTAAGCAGCTGCCAAATCGTGGAGGTACTCCCACCCAAGAAAGAGGAGTAAAAGTGAGATGTGCTCTTTTACGCTCCTGCAGCAAAATTAGAACTCAAGGACAGAGGGGGTAGAACAGCTCAACTACTGATGAGATTATTATTTAACAGAAAAGAAAAGAAAAAGAATCAGTGATGTGGAAGATTATTGAATTTTTTTGTGAATCAAGATTTCCTCCAATAGCTCATTGTACACTGAATAAAAAAGGTTGGGTTATATTTTTATTCTGAAAAGATATTGCAAGCCATTTTTCTCAGCCATTTCATAAATTAGAATGGGAGAAAATAGATTTATATTATAGCAAGTACAATTTAGTGTAGACTAGTGGTGGGGGGCTACTACCAGAGCACTACAATTATGAATATTTATAACCTGAAATAGATGTAAGAAGTAAATTAGAGAAATTAACATGGGCAATAATCATATTCATACAGTGACACTGACTTGGAGAGAATTATATTAGGTAGTCAGAAGACTTTAGCCTATTGCTGCTTGAAATTATGTATACATGGATCCTTAATGTTCTGGGCTTGAATTTGAAAGGCTCACTCATCAAGATTTTTAGACACATTATATTTGCTTTTGCAAATTAGAAGCTCCAACCACAGATGCAAGTATACATTGCCATGTGTGGAATTAATGCTTCAGACAGCTTATGAATATGTATGTGTATTTTGGTGGCGCTTCTGCCACATGAGTCTGAAAAGCAGTGGGAAGTGGGTGGAACTGCGTGGAACTGCATATTGCTGTCAGAAAAGTGCAATTCTCAAAGAAAAAAATATAGGGGCAAATTTTCATTTCAGACATGTCTGCAAAAACATAAAATTTTCCCAAAGAGGAAAGCTGATATTTGTCCATTTTAATTGTTAAAATTTCTGTTGACATCTTCACAACTTAGAAATATTCTGAGGCCAATCCTTTATATTTAAATATACATACATCTTCAAGATGGTTTCTGGAATGCCTTAAGTTTCAATATGTAGTGAGATTTATATGGCATTGAGTTCTGTAATTACAGTTGTAGCTGATTGAATTACTGGTATATATGGGTTGGGTCTAGCTTAAGTTATAGTGGGAGGTTTTGTGTCTGTATTTCACCAGGATGTTGGTATTAACCACTGATTACCTCAAAATCATGTTCATCTAGAAAAAGAAATGCAATATAAATGGTAGTCCATTTGCAATCTGTTCCACTTTATGGGCACCACTTGTAAGTCATGGTAGCTGGGCAGGTTGGGGTGGAGGGACAGGAAAGCTAAGGCCAATAGCAGCTCCTGTGGTGGTGTGTGTGTCTGTAGCAGTGCAGGTGCTTCGAGGTTCCCTGGGCCCAAGAGGACGAAGGGTCTGCACCAACTGATAGTGGCACCCTTGGGTAGTTTGAATTAATTACCTGTTATGATCAGCCCCCTTTGATAAAAGTTTTAGGGTGTTCCGGAAAACCTTGTCACTCGGTGATGGTTTGGTGTAAGGGTCTGGTTAGAGCAGGATCAGATGATATTTACATGTTTCATATGCTGTAACAGTACAATTCTGATACTTCAGACAGATATTTAAGCAATTCCTAACAGTACATTTTAAACATCAAATTGAACCAGTGACAGATAATAACACAATTACTATTGCTCTGTTTTATTGATGTAAACTTACTGCATTTGATCAATTATTACCAAAGAGATTTTAATCCATCGCTTACAAACAATTTGTTTACAAGGCATACTGATATCCTCCTAAAAGACCATCTGATACGGCTTTGCATTTTCACCTGTTCTTGAAGTAGTCCCTCAGGCTATTTCCCTTTACCCCAGTTATCATTTAGAAAAGGTTTGCTTTTGATATGTAGTTAGGGTGCCTGTAAATTCCCTTTTTATCGTAGGTCTGGTCTAATGGAGGGTCCAAAGTTTTCTAGGTAACAATACTTTCTTCCATTTAGCCTTAGTCATCATTTCTTAATGGCCTTCCTCCTTAGAGCTCTAAATTGGATTAAGGTTGTATGTTATCTAGGAACTTTATAAAGAATTAATTGTTATAAATTTTCATTTGTCTTAAAAAACAAATAACAACAAAAACTCTTACACCTGTTAACCTCCCTTGCCCTTCTAGCTTCTGTGCCATTCTTCATTTCCCTTTGCAGTGCAACTCAACATGTCTACACTTGTTGTCTCTAATTCTCCTTTAATTAACTCCTAAACATACTTAAATCAGACTCTTGTCCTCACCATTCCCCTAGAACTCTGGTCAGGTTCAACAGTGACCTTTAAGTTACTATATCAGTAGGTTAGTGTTTGGCCCTCATCTTACTTGACCTATCCAGAGCATTAGAGACATGTATCTTCCTAGAGGCCTGTGACTCACTTGTTCCTCCACATTTTTCAGACCTTTTAATTTTGGAATCCCTGAAAGATGAGCACTTAGTCTGCTTATCTATTTGCAGTTATTGTTGGGGATCTCATTCAGTCTCATGACATTAAATATGATTTATAGACTGATGACTACCAACTTAATGTCATTACTCCAGACATTTCTTCAAAACAATCAATTTTCCTATTTCAGGAACTATAGGAATTTTTAGGTCTACATCAAAAATTTTAATAGACAAGTTTTGCATCTTCCACCAGAAACAAAAAAGAATCAATAAAGTGATAATTTTGAAATTTTGATATTGTTATGATTAAACATTCGTACCAATTTCCAAATTCCAGAGTTAGGGAGTTTAACTTAAGATAGACAAAATAAGATAGAGAAACTAGAATCACTCCATTCAGGAAACTGCATCATGCATATTTACATAATTTTTATGCATACTTGTTGATTGCTATTTCATATTTAAGGTTATATACCTAACAAAGTAATTCATGCCAACACAATGTACCATGTAATCCAATGGGAGATGTCATTTAGTGAGATAAATCATTTGCTTGTTTAGAAGAGTGTTACAAATATGTGTATCACTGTTATTTATATATCAATAGATGAAAGAAGAGTATAGCATTTATAACTAAAGAAGAAATACATATATTAATATGACCAGCTGATACATTTAAAGTGATCTTAGTAAATTATGTTTATTTTGCTTACCTTCCTTTGTAAACTTTGTCCTTTTTGCCTATCTACCAATAGGCAGTCAACTGCACTGCTTAAACACATTGAAAGTTGAATTATAACTAAAATGCATAGTCCACGGACTATTTCTTATATTTTTGGGCATGAAAATGTCCAAAAAATTTGTAATGATGAGCATTCCAGAACATTTTGCATTCTAAGTCTTACATGATTGTTTTAATATCTGGAATTGGGGAATATTGCACATTGTTGTATTTATCATTATTTCTTAGTTGGTCAATTTTGCTACAATTTTACAGTAGAAAAGAACTCTGATTTGAAAGCAATTTCAGACTGATTCATTTCAACCTTAAGAGTCACCAAAATGTTTACTCATCCTCTAAGTTACAATAATACTACTCATATTGAAGAAAAGACAATGTTTAATTAGAGCTTTCATAAATGTTAAATAGTGTTTATTATGTGAAAATTAGGTGAGCATATAATGGGAACATGAATTATTTAAAACACATTCTTGCAAAATTGAGGTAAGAATACAGAGGAAGATAAACTTTCCCTATAGCTCTTTAGATTCAATGACAGGATGACATTTAGTATATAAAAGAGATTGAATGTAATTAAATAGGTGTATATAAATAAATATATATTTCAAATATATAAAAAGAGACAAAAGCAATGGGGCTTAGATGTGACATTTTCTTGATTTCTCTGTATTTAGCATCTCAATAAATATAATAGTTTGATGAACTATTGATCCATTTAGTGACTAGAAAATTGATACTGATGTCATTTAGACAATGAATGAAAATGTTTAAGAGTAATATTCAAAGGACAGATATTCAGAGAATGAAAACAAATGCTGGTATAAATGAAAACACGAAAAGTAATTTTGAAAGGAAAAATGTTCAACTTAGTAATATTATAGAAATGTAAATTAAAACCAGGGTGTGTACTGCTGTCCATCTACTAAATTATTAAATCACTAAAAAGCATAAATCTGATTTTTAGTGAGTCTGTAGGGATGTTTATGAACTCACACATTGCTGCTAGTATAAATTAGAAGAATTTATCAATATTGGGAGGGTTACAACTGTGATCATACCTTTGATTCTATCTTTTGGCTTCTATTTTTGAGACTTCCTCAAGAAAACAATTCAAAATAAAATACAGCAGCGAAGACTTAGTCACCAGACAGACTGATACATATACATAGGGAGCACGGGGGAGGATTATAAGAGGGGAGGGAAGGGAAGAATGAGAAGGGGCAGAGGGGAGAGAGAGAGAGAATGAGCCTGTGTGTGTGAGCTCTTTGCCTTTCAAATATGTATTCCATCAAGAAGTCAGATAGAAACTCAGTACGCTTTGTAAATTGTTTATATTCATTAGGAATGTACAGTATAGCCTGATGAAAATCTATGTTTTAAATAAATAAGTAAATCACTGTACAACATTTTATTTACACAATTATTGTAAATTTCAAAGAGTGTGTATGTGGAAGGGGAATGAAAGGAATTGCCACCCCCTCAAAAAAAACCTTGATAATTTATAGATGATATTTAGGGGCAGGAGTACTTTATATTTCTATTTGTGTTTGTTTACTTCACGAATTTACATGTATATTCATAATAATTATTGCATATTTTATACTTTAAAAAGAATATAATAATTTATATAATAAAGTATATTCTGCTAAATACTCTAATGTGCATTATAAATCATGGCCCTTGTTTTGTATGAATAAAATAAAAACTCAAAAATAGTCTAAAATAACTTAAAAATTCTGAGCCTCCTTTTATAGAATCAGCATTGTAATCTAAAATTATAGGTGAGATTTGAACTTAAAATACCTAATAATAAATCTACATTCTATGGCAGTGAAACAAACTTAATCATTGTGCACAGCAGAGACTTGCACACGGCTAATACGCTTGATTTAAAACGGCCACAGTAAAGATCTGCTTGTGTTAGAGGAAACATTGGATCTTAGTAAATTCAGAACACAGCTCATGAATTGCTATGTTCAGAAAAGGTACTACCCTAGCTTGCTTCCATTTTCTCTCCTTAATTTTACCATTAGTGCAAAGACACACCTGTACATGGAATAAAAATAATAGTATATGTTTAAGAAAAAAAAATCTAATTAACAAATTGTGTATTTCCTTTTCTGTGGGTAAACAGCAGCTGTGAAGCCTTTAAAATCCACTGTTTATTCAATGGAGTTATGTAGAAGAGTTTTGGAGACTAGCTTCATTTTATAAAAGCTTTAAAAAAAAAACTTGCGCTCATCTCTTCCTATTTGAATAAGAAATACTCACTGTTCATGCACATGATTATTTTGAACATTGCTCCCATTTCAATGTAAGAAACCAAATTGTGCAAGCCAAATAGTGTTTATACCTCTTCCCACAGAACACACATGGAAAAGATAGCTGTGATATTCTTTACAGAATTTGGGATTTAGAGCGCACAGTATCTTAGAACAAATCAATTCTCGTTAGTGGCTTTTGTTTTCTTTAAGAAGAATGTATCTCAAATTTATCTGAAGGAAGAACAGGGAACAGATGAAGTGTTTCTTTGGTTATTATAGTTTGGATGTTTTTTGAAAAATTTGCTCTTTTTGTTTTTTCCTGTGGACATTTTTTTTTTGTCAACAGCTTAAAGATGACTACTATATATGAGATATAGAAATGGATGTCTTTTTAAGTGCGATTGCATTCTCTATTCTTTAGAAACACCTACCATTTCAATAAAATTATAGTGCTCCTACAAGCAAAAAATAGGCTTTTGTTACCCTTGTATATTTATGCATATTTTGCTTTTATTTTAACCACAAGAACTTTCTCCAATTTTGGCAGCACTAATAATCTGCAGATTGTCATTTTTTCATGATAGAGTGTGAAGTTTTTTCCAAAAATAATCTTATTTGTAGCTATCTCTATTTTGCCATTACATTTCCATGTATGCTTTTGAATGCATTTTATTTTGTGATCACATCCCTTTGATCCAGCAAACATTAGGGGAATGTTTGGCTTTTTAAAGCAATGGCCTCAAATTGGCAGCACTTTAACACTGGTTATTTTACTAAAATCTTGCTAAGTCAATTTGAATTATTTTTTCCGTCTAGTTTCCATAATGTTACTTACTTTCTTCACAAGTATTGCTATGCCCAGGTATTTGTGAGTTGCAAGTTTCCATATAGACAATGAAACTTGTCTTTTTGCCTGAGTTTTTCAACAATGCCATGTCTTGGCACTTAAGACATTTTAGAAATTTTCCTGACTGCCGCTGTCACTGAGATACAAAATTATTTCCTTCCCACTTTTGTTGACTTATTTATAATGGTCACCAAATTTTAGCATCCAGGGTGGAATTTCACAAGCACAAATTGTGCCAAGCTTTGGTCTTCGAAACTTTAAATAGTGAATACAATTATTCTCTATAAATATTTGTAACAACATTTGAGACAAGTTGATATGTGAAATGTTCACAGTGTTAACTAATGTTTGATAATAACACCAAAGCAGTATCTCATCCTCCCTACATCTACAGAATTATAGTATTAAAATTTGGACCTTCTGACCTTACATAAGATATTTCATTTTAACACAATTTCATATTCTAGTCTGTTCTTGAGATTAAAACTAACTTGTGTGCTAATTTTACTGTGACATAAATCTATAGAAAGGAAGTTCAATTATATATTAGCTAACATAATAATTTTGACTTTAAGTTTCATATTTTTATATTAGAACACGATTTTGTGTACTTTGAAGGAACTTTTAGTAATTTATTGCATTGGAGGGAAAATGCTGGCAGAGCTTCAGTTTTGTTGATCTATCACATGGGATTATATGTCATTTTTATAGAGTGAGAAATCAATTAAGTACACCTGAAAAATAGCTAAAATTAAAATGATTTACTGTACCCAATGTTGGTGAGTATCTGAAGGAACTGGAAGTTTCATACACTGCTGGTGAGAACATACAATACCACAATCACTTTGGAAAACAGTTCGGCAACTTTTAAGAAATATTAAACAAATACCTGTCATATATTCCAGCTATTCCAATCCTGAGTATGTACTTACTTAAGAGAAATTTACCATACCTTGGTGTGGTATATCTATCTATACTATGAATTATATACAAATGTCTATAATAGCTTTATTTGGAATAACTTAAAACTGAAAATAACTGACATGTGCATCAACAGATGGATGCACAAATTGTGGCATATCCATACAATAGGATATTATTTGGCAATAACAAGGGATGAAATACTGATATGTGCTACAACATGGGTGAATCTGAAAATAATTATGCTGAGTGAAAGACATTACACATAAAAAGAGTACATAATATTTTTAGAAAATTCTAGAAAGTGCAGTTTAATCTATGGTGAGGAAAAGCAGATCAGTGGTTGTCTGGAATTGACGGGTAGGAAACAGCTAAGGGAGAGAGTACGGAGGAATATGAGAGGTGATGCATTTGTTTCCTTGGGATGAAGGATATGTTCATTATCTGGTAATTTCAGTGTTACATTGATATGACAAAGTTTATCAAATTGCCTACTTTAAATATGTGTACTTTATGTCAACTTTACCTTGGTTAAGTAGTTTAAATAATTAAGGTAACACATATGAAAGCACCTATCATGTTGCTTGGGAATTGTAATGCATGTTATTACGTGGAAATGATAAAATGATGAGGTAGAGGGAAAATCAGAGACAGTTTCACTTTCCCTACAAGGAAAAAATGGTCAAACAATAGTTTTCTCTTTAGATGGGAAAATCTCTGTGTATATTTAAAGATTGGTTTATACACTGGTTCATATTTATTTTGTGTATGTATTTGTTGAAGTTTCCCCTACTGTCTTTTAGTCACCTGGTTTTCCACACATGTGAGTGAATACAATAGCAGACCATGGATTCTATAAGTGACTGGTAAGGCTAGGGCTCACTGAGGTCACCTAGACTGAAGAGGAGCTATGTTAGAACTTCATTTTACATGGTCTCACAGCATCCTGTACACCTCTGTAACACTTATGACTATCATAATCATGTAATGAATTACATAATTAGTAGATTAAGATCTACTCTTTAAAATGCAAGACTAACTTTTTTGTTGTTGTTCACCGGGCTTTGTGTATAGTTAAAGCTTACTACTGTTTGTTCTGTGAGTGAATGAATAAAATATCGTCATAATCTAATAGTTTTATGGTATGGGCAAGAAAGGCCCTGTGAAACAGTGATTCCAAGTTCTTTAGAAGGATGTATAGTTTAGAGATCATTATAAGCTTAAAAATTGAAGAAAACTTTACAGAAATATGAGCAATGAGATTAAAAACTAGCATAGACATTGGGAAATCATGATGTTGTAGATAGGTTAAGCCAAATTAAAAAATCCCGTGGGGCTGGCTAATTCCAGGGATTGTTAAACTCAGTCAATTGATTAATGCTTATATCAATAAGAGGGATCAACTCTTTCTTTATTCAAAAAGCAAAACTAAATAACTGGCAGTATTTATGGCACATGATCACTATGTTATTGAATAAATTATGAATCTTTTTTTTAGCTGGAATGATGAAATCTAAGTAATAATTAGACTGTGGGCGTGGTGGCTCACACTTGTAATCCCATAAACACTTATAAACACTTTGGGAGGCTGAGGCGGGCAGGTCACAAGGTCAAGAGATCGAGACCATCCTGGCCAAGGTGGTGAAACCTCATCTCTACTAAAAATACAAAAATTAGCTGGGCGTGGTGGCACGCACCTGTAGTCCAAGCTACTCAGGAGGCTCAGGCAGGAGAATCGCTTGAGCCCAGGAGGTGGAGGTTGCAGTGAGCTGAGATTGTGCCACTGCACTCCAGCCTGGCGACAGAGTGAGACTCCATCTCAAAAAAAAAAAAAAAAAAAAAAAGACAACTTGCTTGGTAATGCTTCTAACTAGTTTGCATCTTTATTATGAAATAAACAGTGAAAATGTGTTATCCAAGGGCCTGGGGATTGATCCACCTGGCTTGCTATCACTTGTGTCTGCATACACTATCAGGGAGCCTGAAGACAGGTCCACCTCACCTGCCATGGCTGACACTCATGTGTCATTTGGGTGCCTGGGAATTGACACACCTTACTCACTGGCACTACTGGCTGCACTTCCTGTCCGGGGGCCTGACAATATACCCACCCTTCTTGCTGCCACTGATATACATGCATGGTGTCTAGGGGTGTAAAGATGGGCCCATGTGCACTGGTGCTCATGTGCCTCCTGGGCACCCAGAGACTGGCCTGCCCAGCCTGCCACCATTGGCATTCACTTATAGGCACCACCTAGGTGCCTGGATACCAGCCTGCCAAGCCCACTACCAGCAGTCTCACGACAGCCCAAGCCACTGAGGAACTCACAGACACCACTAATGCTGATAGAGTCAAAGAAATTATAAACACACTATACCAACACAGCCACCCAGAATCAAAGCCTAAGCACTCAACCCAACCAGCACTATAGCTATATCTGTAGGAAAAAGTCTTCCCCCAAAAAGCCATCCATAAAATTGGAAGAAGTGAATGTTACATTAGATATGCAGATATCAAGATAAGGGCACAGAAAAATGAAAAAGCAAGGAAACGTGACACCTCCAAAGGTTCACAATAATTTTTCCATAACAGATACCCCAAAAAAGGAAATCTATGAAATGCCTAAAAGATAATTCCAAGTAACGATATCAAAGAAACTCAGTGAGGCTAGGCATGGTGGCTCATGTCTGTAATCTGAGCACTTTGGGATACTGAGGCAGGAACATCACTTGAGCTCAGGAATTAGAGACCAGTCTGGGCAACATATGAGACCCTGTCTCTACAAAAAATTTAAAAATTAGTCAGGCATAGTAGCGCACACCTATAGTCCCAGCTACTTGGGAAGCTGATGTGGGAGGATTGCTCGAGCCCAGGAGGTTGAGGCTGCAGTAAGCCATGATCACGCCACTGCACTCAAGCCTGAGTGATAGAGTGAGATCTTGTCTCAAAAATAAATAAATAAATAAATAAAAGAAAACAAAGAAACTCAGTGAGATATAGGAATACACTGATAAAAATACAAAGAGATCAAGAAAAGAAGTCATGATCTGAATGAGAAATTCAGCAAAGGCTAGATATCATAAGAAAGAAGCAAACAGAAATCCTGGAAGTGAAGAAATCAAAAGAGGAGAATAAAAATATAGTTCAGAGCTTCAACAATAGACTAGATGAAGCAGAAAAACTAATTTCTGAATTGGAAGACAGGTCTTTTGAAATAACAAAGCCACAATTAAGAAAAGAAAAAAGAAGAATAAAGAAAGCCTACATAATATATTGGGCACCATAAACCAACTAAATACTCAAATTTTAGTTCCAGAAGGAGAAGATATGGCCAAATGCATAGAAAACCTATTTAACAAAATAGCAGTTAAAAATTCCCAAGTCTTGCAAGAGATATAGATACTCAGATAAGGAAGGTCAAAAATCTCCAAACTGATTCAATTCCAAAAGGTCTTCTCCAAGGCACATTATAGTTAATCGGTCAAAAGTCACAGACAAAGAGAGAATTCTAAAAACAGCAATAGAAAAGTGTCAAGTCATCTGTAAGGGAATCCCCATCAGAGTAATAGTGGATTTCTCAGCAGAAACCTTACAAGTGAAAGAGAATGAGATACTATACTCAAAGTATTGAAAGAAAAAACAATGACAGCTAAGAACATGATAAGCATAAAAACTCTCCTTCAAAAATATAGGAGAAATAAATTATTTTTCAGACAAGCAAAAACTGAGGGAATTCATCACCGTTAGACCAGCTCTGCAAGAAATACTAAGGTAGTCCTATATCTGGAAGCAAAAGGATGATATCTACCACATGAAAACATATGAAAGTATACAACTCACTGGTATTGCAGATACACAAATGAGAAAGAGAAAGGAGCCAAATGTTATCACAACAAAAAGCCCACCAATTTGTAAAGATAAACAATGAAAGAGGAATAAAGGAATGAAGCAAATACAAAACAAACAGAAAACAGTTAACAAAATGACAGAAACTCATCTATCAATAGCAACCTTGAATGTAAACAGTTTAAATTCCCCAATTAAAAGATACAGACTGGCTGAATGAATTTTTAAAAAGACCTAACTATAAGCTGCCTGCAAGAAGCTTTCTTCACCTATGAGAAACTGTAGACACACATAAAATGAAAGTGAAGGCATGGAAAAAAATATTTCACCCAAACAGAAATCAAAAGTGTGCAAGAGTAGCTATAATAATATTATACCAAATAGCCTTTAAGTTAAAAATATATAAAAAGAGATAAAGAAAGCCATTATATAATGATAAGAGGATCAATTCTGCGTGAGGGTATAACAGTTGTAAATATAAATGCACTCAGCACTGGAGAATCCAGATATATAGAGCAAATATTATTAGAGCTAAACAGATAGACTCCAATACAGTACTAGCTAGGGACTTCAGCATCTCACTGTTAGCACTGGAAAGATCATCTAGAGTGAAAATCAGCAAAGTAACATTGGACTTAATCTGCACTATATATAAACCAAACGGATCTAACAGATATTTACATAATATTTCATCCAGTAGCTGAAGAATACACATCTTCTCATCAGCACATGGAATATTCTCTAGGAAAGACCATATATTAGGCCTCAAAAAAAAAAAAAAAAAAAAAACACTGAACAAATTATATCAAGTACCTTCTCAGACCACAGTGGAACACAACTAGAAATCAATACCAAGAGGCACTTTGGAAACTATACAAATACATGGGAATTAAATAGCACTCTCCTATATGACCAGTGAGTCAATGAAGAAATAAAGAAGGAAATTTAAAAACGTCTCGGAACAAATGAAAATTGAAGAACAACTTACTAAGCATATGGAATATAGCCAGAGCACTGCCAAGAGGGAGATTTATAGCAATAAATGCCTAAATCGAAAAAGTAAAAAGTTTCAAATAAACAACCTAGTGATGCAGCTCAAGGAACTAGATAAGCAAGAAAAAAACAAATCCAAAATTAGTTGAAGGAAAGAAATAAAGATCAGAGCAGAACTAAACAAAATAGACACTAAAAAACAAGAATCAACAAAAAGAAAAGCTTTTTTTTGAAAAGATAAACAAAGATCAATAAATCACTAGTTACGCTAACCGTGAGAACAAGAGAGAAAACCCAAATAAATAAAATTAGAAACAAAAAAGGAACATTACAGCTGATACCACAGAAATACAAAGGATCATTGGAGACTATTATGAACCACTACGTGCTAATAAATTGGAAAACCTGTAGGAAACAGGCAAATTCTTGGACACACACAGCCTATCAAGATTGAACCAGAAGAAATAGGAAACCTGAACAGACCATTAGCAAGAAATGAGATTGAATCAGTAACAAAAAGTCTCCAACCAAAGAAAAGCTCAGTACCTGATGGCTTTACTGCTGAAGTATACCAAACTTATAAAGAAGAACTAACACCAACTCTTCTCAAACTGTTCCAAAAAATTGAAGAGAAGGGAATTCTTCCTAACCCAGTCTAAAATATCAGCATTCCCTCGACACCAAAACCAGACAAGGAAACAACAAAAAAAGAAAATTGTAAGCCATATTCCTGATGAACATATGTGCAAAAACCTCAACAAAATATTATGAAAATTAATCCAACAGCACATCAATAAGATAATCTTCCATGACAAAGTGGGATTTGTCCCAGGGATGCCAGGATGGTTCAACATACATAAATCAATAAATGTGATACATCACATCAACAGAATGGACAAAAATTATGCAATCATCTCAATAGATCCAGAAAAAGTGCATTTGATAAAGTTTCACATCCCTTCATGTTGAAAACTCTGAACAAATTAGGTATAGAGGAACAAACCTCAACATAATAAAGAACAAATATGACAAACACATGTGACTAACATGATACTAAATGGGGAAAAACTGAAAGCCTTTACTCTTAAGAACTGGAACAAGATAAGGATGCCCACTTTCCTTTTTTTTTTTTTGACAGCCCCACCAAACTTTTATTTATTTATTTATTTATTTATTTTATTTTATTATGATTATACTTTAAGTTTTAGGGTACATGTGCACAATGTGAAGGTTAGTTACATACGTATACATGTGCCATGCTGGTGTGCTGCACCCATTAACTCATCATTTAGCATTAGGTATATCTCCTAAAGCTATCCCTCCCCCTTCCCCCCACCCCACAACAGTCCCCAGAGTGTGATGTTCCCCTTCCTGTGTCCATGGGGATGCCCACTTTCACTACTCCTTTTCAAGACAGTACTGGAAGTCTTATTCGGAACAATCAGTCAAGAAAAAGAAATAAAGAGCATCCAAATTGGAAAGGAGGAAGTCAAATTGTCCCTCTTTGCAGATGACGTGATCTTATATATAGACAAACCTTAGGACTCTATCAGAAACTCTTAGAACCAATAAATTCATTAAAGTTGCAGGATACAAAATGAACATACGAAAATCAATAGCATATTTACATACCAGTAACAAAGTAGCCAAAAAAGGAAATCAGGAAAGCAAACGCATTTACAATAGCTACAAAAATAAATTTAAAAAATACCTAAATTTGACCAAAGAGGTTGTCATCCAAAAGACCACCAGAAAGGCTAAGTAGTAGAAAAGAGGTCTTTATTGGCAATATCAGTTTACAAACCTCCCTTTGAAGATGAAAAGGGCAGGTTGGGTTTTATGCCTCACAGGGCCTGTATCACAAAATAGACATATTATTCAGCAGGTTTGGAGGGGCAGCTGTACATATTTGTGAGGGAAGTTGAGTGCATGTGTAATGGGTAAGCATATTTAACATACATCCCTTGATCACTTTTGAGCGGGGTTATAGCAGTAAAAGGAGATGGAATTTGGCTCTTCACATGAGAAGGTGAACAATAGGACACAAAGACAGTTTGTATGCAGCCTCTATAAGCTGGTTGAAGCTGCCCTAAAGTCTACAGTTGTTTATCAAGAAAGAGCATTTGTAAAGCCAGTTCTCTTTTCAATCAGAGTTATAGTGGCCTGGGTTGTAAATCAGAGTTAGGAAGCAATCTGATAATTTGTTTGATAACGCCTATTGTTAGAGAATTTAGCAAAGGTGTGTTTTTTCTTGTAGCCGTAGGAATTGAGACAGTTGCCATGCCAGCTGATCCCTGAACGCTGAACCGTGAACCCTCAGACCACAGGCAACTTTTGTATCCTTAAGCTTAGGATTCATCTTAGTTGACAAAGGGACATTTATTTTGGTCTCTCAGATCTCGAAGTGAAAGCCCTTTACAATGAAAATTACAAAACCCTTTTGAAAGTAATTGAAAAGGACAGAAACAAATGGAAAAACATCCCATGCTCATGGATTAAAATAATTAATATTATTAAAATGACCATACTACATGAAGCAATCTACAGATTCAATGCAATCTCTATCAAAATACCAATGACATTCTTCACAGAAGTAGAAAAATCAATTCTAAAATTCATATGGAACCACAAAAGACCCTGAATACTCAAAGCAGTACTGAGCAAAAAGAACAAAGCTGGAGGCATCACACTACCTGACTCTAAAATATAATACAAAGGTGTAGTTACCAAAACAGTATGGTATCTTGGTGACAAAAGTACCAAGAGCATATACTGGGGAAAGGACACCCTCTTCAATAAATGGTGCTTTGGAACACTGGATATTCATATGCAGAGGAATGAAACTAGACTCCTATCTTTCACCATATAGAAAGTCAATTCAAAGTGGACTAAAGACTTAAATATAAGACCTGAAACTATAAAACCGCTAGAAGAAAACATAGAGAAAATGCTTCAGGACATTGGTCTAAGCAAAGATTTTATGGCTAAGGTTGCAAAAGCACAGCCAACAAAAACAAAAGTAGACAAACTAAAAAGCTTAGGCACAGCAAAGGATACAGTCAATAGAATGAGTAGATGACCTGTAGAATGGAAGAAAATATTCACTAACTATTCATCTAACAGGTGACTAATATCCAGAATATACAACAAACTCAACCAACAGCAAAAATACAAATAATCCCATTTAAAAGTTGGCTAAGCTTCTGAGTGGACATTCTCAACAGAAGACATACGAATGGCCAACAGACAGAAGAAAAAATGCTCAGCATCTCTCTAATCATCAGGAAAATGCAAATCAAAACCACAGTGAGATATCTCGTCCCAGTTAGAATGTCTATTATGAAAAAAATAGCGTGCTGGCAAGGAAATGGAGAAAAGGGAACTCTTGTACACTATTGATGGGAATGTAAATTAGTATAGCTATTTTGGTAAATGTATGGAGGCTTCTTAGAAACTTAAAATGGAACCACCATATATATATAATCCAGCAATCCCACTACTGGGTATGTAGCTAATGGAAAGGAAATCAGTATATCAAAGGGATATCTGCATCCCATTTTTATCAGCACTATTCATGGTAGCTAAGATATAGAATCAACTTAGGAATTCATCAACGGATGAACGGATAAAGAAAATGTGGAATATATGTACAACAGAACACTATTTAGCCATAAAAAATGAAATCTTGTCATTTGTGGCAATATGGATGGAACTGGAGGTCATTATGTTAAGTGAAATAAGCCAGGTACAGAAAGACAAGTACTCCATGTTCTCATTCATATGTGGAAGCTAGAAAATTTGATTTCGTGGAGGTAGAGAATAGAAGGATGGTTACCAGAGTCTAGGAAGGGTGGGATTGGGAATAAAGACAGGTTAGTTATCGGGTACAAACACACAGCTAGAGAGAAGGAATACATTCTAGTGTTCAGTAGCACAGTAGGATGACTATAATTAACAATGATTTATTTTATGTTTCAAAATAGCTAGAAGAGAACATTTGAAATGTTCCTAACACAAAGAAACAAATGTTTGAGGTGATGGATATCCTAAATACCCTGATTTGATCAATACAAATTGCATGCTTGTATCATAAATATGTACAATATTACATATCAATTTTAAAAACTGAAAATTTCTGCATCAGATATGTGCAGTAAAAAACAATTTGGGCCAGGGGCAGTGGCTCACGCCTGTAATACTGGCACTTTAGGTGGCCAAGGCGGCGGATTAGTTGAGCCTGGGAGTTCAAGACCAGCCTGGGCAACATGGCAAAACCCCATCTCAACCAAAAAAAAAGAAAAAAAATTAGCTGGGCATGGTGGTATTGGTGGCACATGCCTGTAGTCCTGGCAACTTGGGAGGTTGAGGCGGGAAGAACTCTTGAGCCTGGGAGGTGGAGGCTGCAGTGACCCATGATAGCACCACCGCATCTAGCCTGGGCAACAGAAGGAGACCCTGTATCAAAAAAGCAAAAAACAAAAGCAATTGAAATATTTTTAACTATTACATTAGAATAAACATTTTAATAAAAGAATGAAAAAAAGAAAGAATCGTTCAAAGTTTAGACTCATAGTTATAATTTATCTTATCTAATGTAAAATTATAGTCAGTATTTTTTTTAGGACCTTTTGGGTTTTGCTGCTAGTAATGCTCAAAACTCAGGGAAGATCATCAAATTAATATAGTCTTCAAGATACAGCAAATTGCCCTCAATGCATTTGTGAGTCAGACCGGAACTTAACTAATGAAAGTGCTTTTGAAAGCAGATCACATGACTAAGACACAGAAAACCATTGATAATGTTAAAAAATGTTTACCAGTACATCAGAGTATCACTGATAATGTCTCTTTTCCTTTATTCAGAATCTTCTCAAAACAAGTAGGATTTCAGTCTTCAACCGAACTGAGCATTATGATACACTGTTTTAGGAAAACAAATGGTTTTAGATATTCAAGGAATATTAGGGTGTAAAGCATATATTGTAGATGCACATCTGGGTATACATGTAATATGGATATTCTTGACAAGATCAGAGAAAAGATCATTTAATCACAGAAGAAGAATTTGAAAACTGCTACTTTTTAGAAGTGGCAGCAGATTGAATTGTACATCTCAGAGCATCTTTTAAAGAATTCACAAATGATACTGTTGTCTCCGTTTAAATACTCTTTAGGGAGAATATGTTGACTGCTCTTTTTTCTCTTGTCAAGTTACTTTAGTAAAGGTGTGTTCTATGGTATGTTATGGAAATGTTCATGTGAAGTAGAATCTCTGAATATACAAAATGAACTTTCAAAATGTCCCTACTTTAACTTGGTGGTAGACATTTCTCATTCTTTTGGGTTCTCTTATATTTTAAAGACTCCCTTGCCTTTTGAAGGAGAGACTTCAGCCATTATCAAAACTGAAAACGTCTTTCCAGTCTTCTTTGTACCTTGGCTCAGGCCGGATAAATTTTCATCCAATGAAGCAGGTGCCTCCCTGACTATTCTTGCATTTGGTGGCTGCAACTTTAGTAGTTTCATCCAGTTTCCAGTAAAAGCAGTGGTAGCTGAACTGATGGCATGACCAGCCAGAGGCTTGTCTTGGAAATATTGAGGGGGTAAACTGGTGTGTCACTGTCAGTGATAGGACCTCTGTCTTATAATTTGAGACGTTGTTTATAGCTGTTGAACATCCAACTTGGTTTCCAGTCCTCTCAAGATTCTTTTTTATTATTATCATTGTACTTTATGTTCTAGGGTACATGTGCATAACATGCAGGTTTGTTACATTTGTATACTTGTGCCATGTTGGTGTGCTGCACCCATTAACTCGTCATTTACATTAGGTATATCTCCTAATGCTATCCCTCCTCCCTCCCCCCACCCCACGACAGGCCCCAGTGTGTGATGTTCCCCTTCCTGTGTCCAAGTGTTCTCATTGTTCAATTCCCACCTATGAGTGAGAACATGAGGTGTTTGGTTTTCTGTCCTTGTGATAGTTTGCTGAGAATGATGGTTTCCAGCTTCATCCATGTCCCTACAAAGGACATGAACTCATCCTTTTTTATGGTGGCATAGTATTCCATGGTGTATATGTGCCACATTTTCTTAATCCAGTCTATCACTGATGAGCATTTGGGTTGGTTCCAAGTCTTTGCTATTGTGAATAGTGCTGGAATAAACGTACGTGTGCATGTGTCTTTATAGCAGCATGATTTATAATCCTTTGGGTATATACCCAGTAATGGGATGGCTGGGTCAAATGGTATTTCTAGTTCTAGATCCTTGAGAAATCACCACACTGTCTTCCACGATGGTTGAACTAGTTTACAGTCCCACCAACAATGTAAAAGTGTTCTTATTTCTCCACATCCTCTCCAACACCTGTTGTTTCCTAACTTTTTAATGTTCACCATTCTAACTGGTGTGAGCTGGTATCTGATTGTGGTTTTGATTTGCATTTCTCTGATGGCCAGTGATGATGAGCATTTTTTCATGTGTCTGTTGGCTGCATAAATGTCTTCTTTTGAGAAGTGTCTGTTCATATCCTTTGCCCACTTTTTGTTGGGGTTGTTCGATGTTTTCTTGTAAATTTGTTTAAGTTCTTGGTAGATTCTGGATATTAGCCCTTTGTCAGATGGGTAGATTGCAAAAGTTTTCTCCCATTCTGTAGGTTGCCTGTTCACTCTGATGGTAGTTTCTTTTGATGTGCAGAAGCTCTTTAGTTTAATTAGATCCCATTTGTTAATTTTGGCTTTTGTTGCCATTGCTTTTGGTGTTTTAGTCATGAAGTCCTTGCCCATGCCTATGTCCTGAATGGTATTGCCTAGGTTTTCTTCTAGGGTTTTTATGGTTTTAGGTCTAATATTTAAGTCTTTAATCCATCTTGAATTAATTTTTGTAAAAGGTGTAAGGAAGGGATCCAGTTTCAGCTTTCTACATATGGCTAGCCAGTTTTCTCAACACCATTTATTAAACAGGGAATCCTTTCCCCATTTCTTGTTTTTGTCAGGTTTGTCAAAGATCAGATGGTTGTAGATGTGTGGTATTATTTCTGAGGGGTCTGTTCTGTTCCATTGGTGTATATATCTGTTTTGGTACCAGTACCATGCTGTTTTGGTTACTGTAGCCTTGTAGTATAGTTTGAAGTCAGGTAGCATGATGCCTCCAGCTTTGTTCTTTTGGCTTAGGATTGTCTTGGCAATGTGGGCTCTTTTTGGGTTCCATATGAACTTTAAAGTAGTTTTTTCCAATTCTGTGAAGAAAGTCATTGGTAGCTTGATGGAGATGGCATTGAATCTATAAATTACCTTGGGCAGTATGGCCATTTTCACGATGTTGATTCTTCCTATCTATGAGCATGGAATTTTCTTCCATTTGTTTGTGTCCTCTTTTATTTCGTTGAGCAGTGGTTTGTAGTTCTCCTGGAAGAGGTCCTTCACATCCCTTGTAAGTTGGATTCCTAGGTATTTTATTCTCTTTGAAGCAATTGTGAATGGGAGTTCACTCATGATTTGGCTCTCTGTTTATCCGTTATTGGTGTATAGGAATGCTTGTGATTTTTGCACATTGATTTTGTATCCTGAGACTTTGCTGAAGTTGCTTATCAGCTTAAGGAGATTTGGGGCTGAGACGATGGGGTTTTCTAAATATAAAATCATGTCATCTGAAAACAGGGACAATTTGACTTCCTCTTTTCCTAATTGAATACTCTTTATTTCTTTCTCCTGCCTGATTGCCTGGCCAGAACTTCCAACACTATGTTGAATAGGAGTGGTGAGAAAGGACATCCCTGTCTTGTGCCAGTTTTCAAAGGGAACGCTTCCCGTTTTTGCCCATTCAGTATGATATTGCCTGTGGGTTTTTCATAAATAGGTCTTATCATTTTGAGATACGTCTCATCAATACCTAATTTATTGAGAGTTTTTAGCATGAAGGGCTGTTGAATTTTGTCAAAGGCCTTTTCTGCATCTATTCAGATAATCATGTGGTTTTTGTCTTTGGTTCTGTTTATATGCTGGATTACGTTTATTGATTTGCATATGTTGAGCCAGCCTTGCTTCCCAGGGATGAATCTCACTTGATCATGGTGGATAAGCTTTTTGATGTGCTGCTGGATTCAGTTTGCCAGTATTTTATTGAGGATTTTTGCATCGGTGATCATCAGGGATATTGGTCTAAAATTCTGTTTTTTGTTGTGTCTCTGCCAGGCTTTGGTATCAGGATGATGCTGGCCTCATAAAATGAGTTAGGGAGGATTCCCTCTTTTTCTATCAATTGGAATCATTTCAGAAGGAATGGAAACAGCTCCTCCTTGTACCTCTGGTAGAATTCGGCTGTGAATCCATCTGGTCCTGGACGTTTTTTGGATGGTGTGCTATTAATTATTGCCTCAATTTCAGAGCCTGTTATTTGTCTATTCAGGGATTCAACTTTTTCCTGGTTTAGTCTTGGGAGGGTGTATGTGTCCAGGAATTTATCTATTTCTTCTAGATTTTCTAGTTTATTTGCATAGAGATGTTTTTGATATTCTGTGATGGTAGTTTGTATTTCTGTGGGATCAGTGGTGATAACCCTGTTATCATTTTTTATTGTGTCTATTTGAATCTTCTCTCTTTTCTTCTTTGTTAATCTTGCTAGTGGTCTATCAATTTTTTTTGATCTTTTCAAAAAACCAGCTCCTGGATTCATTGATTTTTTGAAGGGTTTTTTGTGTCTGTATCTCCTTCATTTCTGCTCCGATCTTAGTTATTTCTTGCCTTCTGCTAGCTTTTGAATGTGTTTGCTCTTGCTTCTCTAGTTCTTTTAATTGTGATGTTAGGGTGTCAATTTTAGATATTTCCTGCTTTCTGTTGTGGGCATTTAGTGCTATAAATTTGTAGTGCTTTAAATGTGTCCCAGAGAGTCTGGTATGTTGTGTCTTTGTTCTCATTGGTTTCAAAGAACAACTTTATTTCTGCTTTCATTTAGTTATCTACCCAGTAGTCATTCAGGAGCAGGTTGTTCAGTTTCCATGTAGTTGAGTGGTTTTGAATGAGTTTCTTAATCCTGAGTTCTAGTTTGATTGCACTGTGGTCTGAGAGACAGTTTGTTATAATTTCTGTTCTTTTACATTTGCTGAGGAGTGCTTTACTTCCAACTTTGTGGTCAATTTTGGAATAAGTGTGATGTGGTGCTGAGAAGAATGTATATTCTGTTGATTTGGGGTGGAGAGTTCTGTAGATGTCTATTATGTCTGCTTGGTGCAGAGCTGAGTTCAATTCCTGTATATCCTTGGTAACTTTCTGTCTCGTTGATCTGTCTAATATTGACAGTGGGGTGGTAAAGTCTCCCATTATTACTGTGTGGGAGTCTAAGTCTCTTTGTAGGTCTCTAAGGACTTGCTTTATGAATCTGGGTGCTCCCGTATTGGGTTCATATATATTTAGGATAGTTAGCTCTTCTTGTTGAATTGATCCCTTTACCATTATGTAATGACCTTCTTTGTCTCTTTTGATCTTTGTTGGTTTAAAGTCTGTTTTATCAGAGGCTAGGATTGCAACCCCTGCTTTTTTTTGTTTTCCATTTGCTTGGTAGATCTTCCTCCATCCCTTTATTTTGAGCCTATGTGTATCTCTGCACGTGAGATGGGTTTCCTGAATACAGCACACTGATGGGTCTTGACTCTTTATCCAGTTTGCCAGTCTTTGTCTTTTAATTGGGTTATTTAGCCCATTTACATTTAAGGTTAATACTGTTATGTGTGAATTTGATCTTGTCATTATGATTTAGCTGGTTATTTTGCTTGTTAGTTGATGCAGTTTCTTCCTAGCATTGATGATCTTTACAATTTGGCATGTTTTTGCAGTGGCTGGTACCAGTTCTTCCTTTCCATGTTTAGTGCTTCCTTCAGGAGCTCTTGTAAGGCAGGCCTGGTGGTGACAAAATCTCTCAGCATTTGCTTGTCTGTAAAGGATTTTATTTCTCCTTCACTTCTAAAGCTTAGTTTGACTGGATATGAAATTCTGAGTTGAAAATTCTTTTCTTTAAGAATGTTGAATATTGGCCCCCACTCTCTTCTGGCTTGTAGGGTTTCTGCAGAGAGATCCGCTCTTAGTCTGATGGGCTTCCCTTTGAGGGTAACCCGACCTTTCTCTCTGGCTGCCCTTAACATTTTTTCCTTCATTTCAACTTTGGTGAATCTGACAATTATGTGTCTTGGAGTTGCTCTTCTCGAGGATTGTCTTTGTGGTGTTCTCTGTGTTTCCTGAATTTGAATGTTGGTGTGCCTTGCTAGTTTGGGGAAGTTCTCCTGGATAATATCCTACAGAGTGTTTTCCAACTTGGTTCCATTCTCCCCATCACTTTCAGGTACAGCAATCAGATCTAGATTTGGTCTTTTCACATAGTTCCATATTTCTTGGACGCTTTATTCATTTCTTTTACTCCTTTTTCTCTAAACTTCTCTTCTTGCTTCATTTCATTAATTTGATCTTCAATCACTGATACCCTTTCTTCCAGTTGATTGAATCGGGTACTGAAGCTTGTGCATGCGTCCCGTAGTTCTTGTGCCATGGTTTTCAGCTCCATCAGGTCATTTAAGGACTTCTCTACACTACTTATTCTAGTTAGCCATTCGTGTAATCTTTTTTCAAGGTTTTTAGCTTCTTTGTGATGGGTTCGAACATCCTCCTTTAGCTCGGAGAAGTTTGATCGTCTGAAGCCTTCTTCTCTCAACTCATCAAAGTCATTCTCCGTCCAGCTTTGTTCAGTTGCTGGTGAGGAGCTGCATTCCTTTGGAGGAGAAGAGGCGCTCTGATTTTTAGAATTTTCAGCTTTTCTGCTCTGGTTTATCCCCATCTTTGTGTTTTCATCTACCTTTGGTCTTTGATTATGATGACGTACTGATGGGGTTTTGGTGTGGATGTCCTTTCTGTTTGTTAGTTTTCCTTCTGACAGTCAGGACCCTCAGCTGCAGGTCTGTTGGAGTTTGCTGGAGGTCCACTCCAGACCCCGTTTGCCTGGGTACCACCAACGGAGGCTGCAGAAGAGCGAGTATTGCAGAACAGCCAATGTTGCTGCCTGATTGTTCCTCTGGAAGCTTCGTCTCAGAGGGGCACCTGGCCATGTGAGGTGTCAGTCGGCCCCTACTGGGAGGTGCCTCCCAGTTAGGCTACTCGGGGGTCAGGGGCCCACTTGAGGAGGCGGTCTGGCTGTTCTCAGATCTCAAACTCCATGCTGGGAGAACTACTACTCTCTTCAAAGCTGTTAGACAGGGACATTTAAGTTTGCAGGAGGTTCTGCTGCCTTTTATTCAGCTATGCCCTGCCCCCAGAGATGGAGTCTACAGAGGCAGGGAGGCCTCCTTGAGCTTTGGTGGCCTCCACCCAGTTTGAGCTTCGCAGCTGCTTTGTTTACCTACTCAAGCCTCAGCAATGGTGGATGCCCCTCCCCAAGACTTGCTGCAGCCTTGCAGTTTGATCTCAGACTGCTGTGCTAGCAATGAGCGAGGGTCCGTGGGTGGGGGACCCTCGAGCCAGGCGTGGGATATAATCTCCTGGTGTGCCTTTTGCTAAGACCACTGGAAAAGCGCAGCATTAGGGTGGGAGTGACCCGATTTTCCAGGTGCCATCTGTCACAGCTTCCCTTGGCTAGGAAAGGGAATTCCCTGACCCTTTGCTTTTCCCGGGTGAGGCGATGCCTCGCCCTGCTTCGACTCTCATTCGGTGGGCTGCACCCACTGTCCTGCACCCACTGTCTGACAAGCACCAATGAGACGAACCTGGTACCTCAGTTGGAAATGCAGAAATCACCCGCCTTCTGCGTCGCTCACACTGGGAGCTATAGAATGGAGCTGTTCCTATTCGGCCATCTTGGAACCTCTCGGTCCTCTCAAGGTTCTATAAGCTATTCACAGTAAGTTCATTTTTTTTTTCATAAATCAGACAAGAATTTGTTTCTGCTGCTTCCAACTAGGAACCCTCGATACAAACTCTTCTATCCAAACTATTACTAAATGTTGTCATTTTATGCCTCAAAATGACTTCTGCTATACCTGATTGCTCATCTCTTTAGGCATTATAACTACAACTTCTTGGTAAATAGTCTGGTTTTCCAACCTCTCCCCTGATTTGTCCTTCACAGACATCTTCATAAAGCACCACTATTATCATGTTGCTTTCCTGTGGAAGAATGCAAATCACACTTTCTTAGTATCTCCTAACTGTTTGAAGCTTTGGAATGAAGTAAATGTGAGCCGTTATCCTCTTCATATTAGATTGTGTGACCATGAATAAGGTACTTCATTTCCCCAAAGCATAGTTTCCTCCTCTTTAAATGAAGATAATGACTTATAAATTGTATAGTTGCTGTGGGAATTTAGTTGAATGATATGAAAAAATGCACAATAATGTCAACTACTTGTGTCCCAAATTCCAGTTCCACCACTTAATAACTCTGTATTCCAGCAAATTGCTGTACTATGCCTTAGTATTTCCACCTGCAATGGTACCTAACTCATGCATATGAAATGCTTAGGAGGGTGCTGGTCATAGTGAGCCCTCAGTAAGTGTTATTATTATTATTGGTAAAATGTTCAAGTAATGGTAGCACCGATTTCCTCCCCTTCCTTTTCCTCTTCTTTCTCCTTGTTCTGTTCTCTTCCTCTTACTTTTGCTACTACTACTGCAAAGTCAGCTGATGTACACGTTTTCAGGAGGTATGTTTTAATAATAAAGGAAGTAAGAAAAAAGCCATAAAATTATTTCTTAAATATAACCTTGTCCCATTTCACTCTTCTGTAGTGCCCATCCTCCCTCTTCAAGTGCATCTCATTCTCTCCAGCAGGTGCCACACTAGCTTCCTGTCTTTTGTCATTGCCCTGCACATTTATACTTTCAGTGCAGAGAAGGTGTTTGTTTTTGCGGTTGATTCTCCCATGAGCTTATCCACACCCCAGTATTTTCAAGTATCCATTTAGATATCGTCTTTTCTGGGAGGCATTTCCCATATACTGTAGCTCAACTGATCTTTTCTTTCTTTGATCCAACGTTTATGACATGTAAGACTTAACCCTTGATTGCTCTACTGCTTTTAATGAATGTGTATTATTAGTTTGTATCTAACTTGGAGAATGAGGTCCTGGAGGGTAGAAGCCACAGTGTCACACTCACTACTGATCATAATCGCTTATTTTTATTAACAAATGGTCCAGAAGTAGTAACTTTGGAACTGTTTCCAGGTTGCCTGGGTACATTTCATTGTCTCGTGTGCAGCTTGCAGTCTCTTATGAATTTAATTCTCTCAAAATAGGAAAAATCCATTTACTAGCAATGGTCATAACTAAAGAAAACTTGGATTAAATTGCTGTGTTCTTTTCTGTAGAAATATTGTATCAAATAAGATTGGATTGTATGAGATTATATATTTATATTTTCAAAAGGAATCAACAAACAGATCTGATGAGCACAGACAGCTCATCAGAAAAATAAATTTGAGGGTAATTCATGGATCATGTAGAGTCATATGTGTATACCTACATAATATAATGGTTTTTGCATTGTTTTTACTCCTTTTTTTTTTTTTTTTTGAGACAGAGCCTCGCTCTGTCATCCATGCTGGAGTGCATTGGCACAATCTCAGCTCACTGCAACCTCTACCTCCCAAGTTCAAGTGATTCTCCTATCTCAGCCTCCCGAGTAGCTAGGATTACCGGCACGTGCCACCATGCCCAGCTAATTTTTGTATTTTTAGTAGAGTGGGGTTTTGACATGTTGGCCAGGCTGGTCTCAAACTCCTGACCTCCAGTGATTCACTCGCCTGGGCCTCCCAAAGTGCTGGGATTACAGGCATGAGTCACCACAGCCGGCCATTTTCACTCTTTTAAAAACTAGTTATGTATAAAAGCGTTGTCTAAAATGATAGTTGGAGAAGGATTTATCAAAAAGTATCTCAGTTTGTTACTGATCCTCTAAAATATTTTCAACAGTGCAAACATTTTAAGATTTTAAAGGAAAATTTAAGAACTAAGAAATCTTAAGTCACCGAGTGCCAATAAAATTAAAATTATTAAAACAAAAAATGAGCCAAAACAACTAGACACTATAAAGTGAAGATAAAGAATGTATTCACTCAGATTTCTGTGGAATAAAATTTTATGAAGAAGAGTCTTGTTATCAGTTGTGCGTTCTAAGGAATGTGTGAGAGCTGAAATTGTGAGGTTAGACATATAGGAGATAATAGAGAAATGGGCATCGTTTTTGCAGGAAAGCTGAAAGAAGCTAAGATTCCTGAGATATTTAATTCTATAGTCTTTGGAGGCAGGGAAGTATAATACTTTCTATCTGCTGATCTAATGTGTACAGTCATGAAACATTTTATGTTAGGCAGAGCTTTGCAACCTAGAGGCAGTTGTAATATGTCAGTAAAAATGTGATTGACATTAAGTAGGTATCAAGAACATTTCAGATAATGGAAGAAAAATGTATACTCATACACATAAAGAAATATAAAATATAAAGTACATACGATATTACCTTATTCCATTTGGGCGGCTATAACAAAATACCTTTGACTGGGTGACTGATAAACAACAGAAATGTATTGCTCACAAGTCCAAGATGAAAGCACCAGCAGATTCGGAATTGAGTGAGTGCTTGCTTTCTGGTTCATAGATGTTGTCTCCTAGCTGCATCCTCACTTGGTGGGAGGGATGACAGGCCTTCTTGAGGGCTCATTTATAGGGGTACTAATCACATCTTAAAGGCCTCACTTCTTAATACTGTTGCATTGGGGATTAGGTTTCAACATATGAATTTTAGAGGGACACAAAAATTGAGACCATAGTATGCCACCTCTCATCTCCTAAATTAATATTCTTCTCACGTGCTAAATACATTGATTCCATCCCAATATCCCCCAAAGGCTTACCTTGTTTAAGCATTAACTCACAAGTCAAAAGTCCAGTCTCATCCAAATATCGAAATCATATATGGCTGAGAGTCATTGTATGATTCGCCCTGAGGCAAATTTCTCTCCAGTTGTGAGCCTGTGAAATCAAACAAATTATGCATTTTGAAAATACAGTGGTGGAACAGACACGGGGTAGATATTCCTCTTTCAAAAGGGAGAAATGGGAAGGAAGAAAAGAGTACAAGTTGCAATAAGTCCACAACAAAACAGGGCAAACATTAAATCTTAAGGCTTGTGAATAATCTTCTTAGATTCCATGTCCTGCCTTTGCAGCACACTGGGGTGAGGGTTAGGCTTTCAAGTTTGCAGGCATTCCAGCCCTCATGACTTTGCTGGGCACAGCCCTTATGGGTTGGAGTGGCATACTCATGACTCTCCCAGGCTGGAGTTGAATGCAAGTTGTATCTACAGTTCTGAGTTCTTGTGGGTGCCTGTACTCCCATGGCTTCACTGGGCATTGCCCAAGTAGGGACTCTCTACCTGGGCCTCAATGCTGTCCGAGGAAGCCTTTGAAATCTAGATGGATGTAGCTATGCCCCTGCTGCTTGTGCACTCTGTGCATGGGTAGAGATGACACCACACAGACACCACCAAGGTTTACCACCTGTGCTAACTGGAAGAGCAGCCAACATGGGGTGGCTGAGGAGCACTGTGCCAGAATGTGGGAGGCAGAGACTTGAGGCAGTGCTAGGCGGCAACTGCCAGAGTCATACATGTGCCCAAGAGCCCTTGTTTGACATAGTTCTGTTCTCCAGGTCTTGGCACTCTGGGCCTGTGATGAGAGGGGCAGCCCAGTGCTCTCCAAAATGCAGCTGGGGCCATTCGTCCATCATCTTGATGAACAGCACCTGGCTTCCACAGAACCATAACAGTCTCTTTATCAAAGGGTTGCTTAGCCACACCCTTGGTATTCTCTCCTGAACTCGCTTTTTCATTCTTTAAAATGTGGCAAGGCTGAGAATTTTCCAAATCTTTAAGTTCTGCTTCCCTTTTGATTATAAATTTTGTCTTTGAATAGTTCCTATCTTCTCACGTTACTATTTAGAGAGGAGCTGTGTTGTACCCTCAACACTTTGTTTATTCTTTTTCTTTAATTTTCTTCTTTTCTCTTTCTTTCTTTCTTTCCTTTTTTTTTTTTTTTTTTTTTGGACAGTGTCTCACTCTATCACTCAGGCTGGAGTGCAGTGGCACGATCATGGCTCCTGGGCTCAAGTGATCTTCCCACGGACGCGTGCCACCACACCTGGCTAATTTTATTGTTGTTGTTATATTTTGTAGAGACAAGGTCTCACTGTGTTGTGCAGGGTGGTCTTAAACTCCTGAGCTCAAGTAATCCTCCCACCTTGGTCTCCCAAAGTGCTGGGATTACAGGTGTGAGTCACAATGCCTGACCTCCTTAGATATCTCTTTCACCAGATATCTTGTTTCACTTCTCATAAGTTCTACTTCACACAAAAATACCAGAACATGGACACAATTCAACCAGATTTTTTGCCCCTTTATAACTTGGATGGCCTTTGCTTCCATTTCCAATACCACACTCTTCACTTCTGTCAGATTTCATCAGAATGGGCTTTACCGTCTGTATTTCTGCCTAGCATTTTGATCACGACCTCTTAGGTCATCTCTAAGAAGACTGGGGTTTTTCTCTGCAGCTCTCTTCTTCTGAGCCCTCACCAGAATCACTTTTTCTAGTCCTTTTATAGCAGCGTAGACTTTTTCTAGCATTCACTTCAAGACTTTCCCAGCCTTTACTCATTACCCATTTCTAGCGGTTCTTCCATGCTTTTAGGTATTTGTGATAGCAACACCACTTCTTGGTACCAATATCTGTATTTGTCCCATCAGTTGGCTATAACAAAATACCTTAGACTGGGTAATTTATAAACAGCAGAGATTTATTCTCTTACACTTCTGGAGACTGGAGAGACCAAAATCAAGGGTGTTGACAGATTCAGTGTGTGGTGAAGGCTTGTTCTCTGCTTCATAGGTGGCGCCTTCTGGCCACATCCTCACAATGGTGGAAGAGGCAAACAGGTTCCTTCAGGCTTCTTTTATAAGGGCACTAATCCCATTCATGAGGGCTCCACCCTCATGACCTAATCACCTCCTCAAGGTTCCACTTCTTAATACTATTGGAGATTGAGGATTAGGTTTCAACATATGAATTATGGTAGTACATAGACGTTTAGATCATAGCAGGTATAATGTATATGATTTATAATACATAATTTATTGCATATTGTATAAGTACATCTACAGTGTTTAATAATGTGTTGTCTGAATTCTGAATGTTTATGTTCATACATATGAGTTTATAATATTCCATACACTGTTTCTCAATATATTTGTGTATATGCATGTGTATGTGGTATATAGTTTGTTAGTTTCCTAAATATACAGTGGGTTGGGTGTCAAAATAGTTAACTGCTGCCTTTTTCCACATGGATAAAAATGTTGACACACATGGACTGTCTCTCTCTGTCTCTCTCTCTTATTTATTTATTTATTTTTTTCGGGAGACTGGGTCTTGCTTTCTGCCTAGGCTGGAGTGCAGTGGTATGATCATAGCTCATGCAGCCTCAAGTTTCTGGGCTCAAGTGATCCTTCTGCCTCCGTCTCCCTGAACTACATGTGTATGCTATCACACCTGGCTAATTTTTTAATTTTTTGTGGAGATGGGGTCTCAGTATGTTGCCCAGGCTGGTCTTAAATTCCTGGCCTTGAACAGTCATCCCCCCTCAGCCTCCTAAAGTGCCGGGATTACAGGTGTGAGCCACCACACCTGGCTGGCATGGATTCTTTTATTTAAAAAAGAAAAGAGAGAGAGAGAGTGTGTTACATATGGAGGAGTTACTCTCTGAGTGTGTCCCATGAAGGATAGGTCTACCGTGTTTTGGTTTTCTCCTGTTGGTGATACATGAATCTCCCATGACCTGTATGTCTGTCTTTTTAACTTTTTTCAGGACTCTTATCTCTTGATGCCTCTGTCGTTTCCTGGTATTTGTGCAAATTACTGTAATGCTTTTAGATTCCTTCTTATAGGCTAACATTTGGCTCTGTTTCAGAATGTGAGGGTGGTGGTAGGGTGGGCAGAAGGAAATGTAAAGTTCAGGGATCACAAGTGACCTGACTTGGGCTCCCGGATGCTGGATAACGCACATCATGCTAGTCCTGAGAAGCATGTAACCAAGGATAGTTATACAAGAGGAGGGAAAATCTTTTAAAACTGGCTTTTGAACCCAGTTTCAGAGTAACATGGCCATGAAAAGGTAGGCTTATGTTTGAGGTCTGTTTTGTAGTGTTTGTAGATGACAAAGAGAAAGCAGAATACTCAGTTATTTTGCTTTGGTTGTTTTTTTTTTTTTAATCAGGGAGAAAGAACCAGAGGTAGAACAAACAAACAACAAACAAATACTAAGCCTTAAAATATTTGGAAATAGTGGGTGAACTCGTAGGCAATGAAGTAGTTCAGTTTTGAGGCCAGATACACATGTGGGGATCCTGGAAGCATCAGTGGTCATCTTTACAGATTCAAAGAACTGAACAGGTTCTAAGAAATTAAAGATAATTTTCCAAAAGGGATAGTAGAAGAATTTATAAATTACTGAATGGTAAATTTAATCTCAAACTGTAACAAAATTTCAAAACATATTATGAAACTGAATGAGCAGTTACCAAAGTACCAGTGATTAATAGAGGATGAATTAGCTTCCAAAAATGCAAGAACAAATCATGCTGTATTAACTTGACATCTCTTGTTAAATAGTTAACTTGACTGGAAATGCAGGGAACTTTATGTGTTTGGTGAATTTGGATTGGTTTTTACAAAATTTCTTATGATAGTCCTACAGAGTAGATGGAAAAATGTAAGCTTGAAATGATTAGCTTAGTTCTTATAGTTGTGAAATTAACCCATCCAGTGACTGTTAATGGGTCAATGTGTCTTCCTCTGGGAGGTTTCTAGTGATATGTTGCAAGCAAGGTTCCATCCTTGGGTCTTGCTCCGTTCAGAAGTTTATCAATGATTTAGGTGAATACTAGAAACACTTCTTGTCAATTCTTATCTTTAAAATGACACACTTGTTTGCTCTGTTATAAAACAGTAGATAATAAATGTTAACCTATTTACCTCTTGCTTGAAACAATGAAGATAAATATTTCAAGCAACTCAAAAGCAACAATTGTTAATTGTTTGGTTTTAAAGCCAAACAACTTTTAAAAAATCTATCATTTACAAAATATTATTGTGATTGAAATCAATCACTTAAAAGTGAAATCAGTCACTTTAAAATATAGTTGTGCCTGAGAGAGAGATTCTGAGGTGTTTGTTGACTGATTTTCAGGTAACAATGTGACATTGCTGCTAAAATCGTCTTTATTCCATGCCACATTAATAGGAACATGGTTTAAATATGAAATACTATATTCAGTTTGAACATTTTAGTTTGAAGAGAACACTGGCTAAAATGGAATGAGGAATGAATCCAGTGATGGATCCTAAAACCATGTCCTTTGAACAACAGTTGAAGGAATGGAATGTGTTTAACCTGAAAATAAGAAAATAGGACCCTATTCAGATGTATATATGAGAGACCAGCATGAGGTGGAGAGATTAGAGATGTTTTGCATGGCTCCAAAAGGTATAACCACGGGGCAACTGACACTATTTATAAGCATTAATATTAATATCCTTATAATTTAAGCCGCATAGATTATGGATCCTACCTCATGGGTGGCTGAAGTCATCATTGCTCAGATTTTTCAAGCTGGATACATATTCATCAGAGATAAATTAGGTGACATTAACTGCACAAGTTTTGGGAGACTCTCAGAATTGTAGTTCTATAGACAGATTAAACAAGAACTCCAGAAACTGGGCAGATTGTTCAAGCGGAGCAGACAATCTGGACAGGTTTTTTGTTGTAGGAGAAGAAAAGATTCAGGAGAGTCTGGCGGCATGAAAATCAGGATTTGGAGGTGAGGGTTGGGGCCTGCAATTAGAAGTAGTAAGATTAACTACAAGAAACTTTCAAAATTTGCACATGATAAGGAATATAAGCCATTCCTTTTTTGAGAGTGTGTCATAAATAAAAAACAATTCAATTGGGAGAAGAAACAAATTCCTAACCTTCAGTAGAATTTGTCCCTTAAGACAGGAAGTGATTAGTAAATTTCTAAATCCAATGCAGTGAGTGACACCAGAGTGCCTCCAGAGAATATGCAACAATTTGAATAAATATTATAACAAAAGTTTTTGTTTTGTTCCTCTGTCCCCCAAATAGCTATAATCTTAAATTCTGAATTAATGCTCCACATTATGAATATCTCATTTTTTGCATTCTAAAGCGTTATCTCAAAATCTGAAGAACCTATGAATTGGATCATATTTGGTAGCCACATTTTTCCAAATACATTTTAAAAAGATATTTCAAAATTTAGGTCCATTGGAGTATACATACATAAATTACAGGTAGTGCTTCTTCTGCTGCTGAGGTTGAGAACAGTTATGTGACCATGGCATTGATTAACATATTATCAGCACTGTTTAGCATTGATGAAATTCGTGGGCAATACTCATGAAAACAAAGCCACAGTTGACGTTGTTATCATACCTGTAAGAATGCTGTCTATAAGATTAAACAAAGCTAAGTTGCATTAAGCAAATGTCGTCCTGTGATATCCTATTTCCCTGTTCCTTGAATACTCTTTCCAGCATGCATTGTGTCATGGATTTGCTGGTTGAGAAAGCTATCAAGGAGAATCAAAAGTCAGGACAATAGCCAGATTAAGACTATGATGAACAGTGGGCAAAGGAGAGGGTTTCTTGAAAGGCATTGTATAGTAAGAACCAATATGATATTGTGTACTCAAGGGAAAAGATAGTCTCAAGGCTCACTAGTCTCATGAAACTTGGAATTTAACTCAGTGCAGCTCACTTATTCCCCTGTCTTTCTCCTCTCCTTCTCCTTCTCTTCGTCGTTGCTCTTCTCTTCTCCTCTCTTTCTGTTCCTCCCTTTTCTTCTTCTAATATTGTTTTCACTGTGAAATATAACATATACCCAGGAAAGTCTACAAAGCTGAAAGTATGGTTTAATAAATTGTTATAACATGCAAACCCATGCAGTCACCCCCAGGTCTAGAAAAGGAATATTGCCAGCTCTCCTGTTTCCCTTTTCAGTTATAATCTCTCCCAACTCCTTTCCTATTCTTTAAAAATGTTACCACCTATATGTACATACCTAAATAATATTGTTTGGTCTTGTTTTTGAATTTTATATAAAAGGAATCGTACTGTAGATGTTTTAATGACTTGCTTTTACATTTACTATCATGATTTATTTACATTGTTGTTTATAGTTGTAGTTTGTTTATTCTCATTGCTATATAAAATTCCACCATGTGCCTATACCAAAATCTATTAATATTTATCCATTCTGTTAGTGGACATTTGGGTGGTTTCCAGTTTGAGCCAACAACAATGCTTCTATGAGCATTGTTATTTATGTCTTTTGATGTTCCTCATGCATGATGTTTTGTAGGGTATATGGAGGAGTGGAACTTCTATAGCATATGTGTTTCTCCAACTTTACAAGAAAAAGCCAAATGTTTCTGAAATGGTTTTTACCCATTTATATTTGTACCAGAAGGGTAGGAGAGTGACTGTTTTTCAGTTCTCAACAGCATGTCTTGTTCTCAGGCTCGATACTAAAGTATTCAGGTGGGTGTGTTCATTAATTGTAGTTTTATTTTGTATTTCCCTGATTATTAATCAAGTGAAGCACTTTCGCATGTGTTTATTTGCCATTTGGATTCCCTCTTTTGTGAAGTGTTTATGTAAATCCTGTATAGGATTTTGTCTTCTTGATACTACTCCTTTGTTGTTATCTTCTGGATACTAGTTATTTGTCTGTTATATGTGTTCAGATTTAGTTGAGTTCTAGAATGAAGGTACACTCCCACAGAGATAATCTATATTTGCTTCTGCCAGGCACCTGGAGACACTTTGAGTCTAACAGCAACCAAGTTCAAGGCTTGAGTTTCTTTGGGGGTTTTAGTAATGGGCCGCCAATTCATTCTATTTCACTTGTACCTGAGTTTATGTTGGGATTCCAAAAAGAATCTATATTTTCTTCTACCAGGGTGATCTCCTATTAGATCCCCTAATCTTTGTCAGTCTGAGACTTTAATTTTGGTCATCTTCCACTAGTAAGGCCATCCAGGTAAAAGTTCAAATCCGCAGGAATTTTGAAATTTGTCAGAATTGGCAAATGCAGTTGCTATGATTTAAATGGTTTTGTTCCATCTAAAGTTCATATTGAAACTTAATCCCCAATGCAAAACTCTTAAGAGGTGTGGCCTTTAGGATATAATTGATCATGAGAGCTCCACCCTCATAAATAGTATTATGTGCCTTTATAAAAGGGCATGTCAGAGGGAGTTAGCTTGTTTTTGCCTCTTCCGTTCCTTCTGCCCATGAGGATGCAGCTACAAGGCACCATCTTTGAAGCAGAGAGCAGCCCTTACCAGACATCAAACTGCTGCACCTTGGTCTTGGACTTCCCAGCCTCCAGAACTGTGAGAAATAAATTTCTATTACTTATAAATTACCCAGTCTTAGGTATTGTATTATAGCAGCAGAAATTGAATCATAGAGAGGTGTCTTCCATTCTAGCTAACCTCTGTCGTTTCCAATTTTTCCTTCAGTATTGACCTAATATTTCCCTCTTACCTTGTCAACTCTTCAATGATTTAAAGGTATTTATTTTTTTTTAAATAGTACTTTTTAGATTTTTTTTTCCAGTGGAGAAAGATTGTTCTGAAAATTTAGTTCATCATTACTGAAAATTGGCAGTTCTTCCATGGTTCTTTACCAAGCATGTACGTTAAAACCAAAATTCTCCCCAAAGTAATGCTTGGGACCCTTGCAGAGATTTTGACTGAGTCTATCTCTAGGATAAGACCCGTATGCTTTTAAAATTCTCCCCAGGTGATTCTCTTCTGCAGAATGATTCAAGTATTATTGTAAAAGAAAAAAAAACTCTCTATATACACACACTTACGTATGTACATGCACAAAGAAATAATACAGACAATTCTAATTTACAAATTTAGAGCAAATTATAATCAATAAATCAGAGGAAGGGAAGGGTAATTTAGGCTGCCAGGATTGCTTTGGATCCAGGATGAGCCAAAATCAAACAGATAGTATATCCTAAATAAAGTAGGAGCTGCTGCGGCTAGTTCTGAACTCTGTGTAGATTCACAGACCACAGGAAAGAGGGAGGAGAGAGCAGAAAGAATTGCAGCTGCAAAAAGAGGAGTCTTTAAGTGCTCAGTTCCCCCTCCAGTATCCTTTCTTGTGGCTTCTATGAGACACAGGCCAAATCCTCAGTTACTTTGAACATCTGTGGAAGACCCTGGGGCAACACCCAAGGTTATAGGAGCATTTCCTGGCCTTGAGGCTACTTCTGCCTTTCTTTCTCTGTCCTTCACCTACCACCAGGAACATAACATTAACAACAATCACAAGGCCTCTCTTCTTTCTTATTACTAGTCTTTTTCTGTGTTTACCCTTCCCTCCCTCCCTTCCTCCCTCTCCTCCCCTCCCCTTCCCTCCTTTCCACTCCCCTCCCCCCTCCCTCCCCCTCCCTTCCCCTCCCTTCTCCCTCCCTCCCTCCCCTCTCCCTCCTTCCTTCCTTCCTTCCCTCCTTCCTTCCTTCCTTCCTTGCTTCGTTCCTTCCTTCCTTCTTTTTTCTTTTTTTGGCTTTTTGTTTTTTTGAGACAGTATCTTGCTCTGTCACCCAGGTTGGAGTGCAGGGGCACAATCACAGCTCACTGGAGCCTCAACCTCTTGGGCTCAACCGTTTCCCCCAACTCAGCTTTCCAAGTAGCTGGGACTGCAGATGTGCCTGGATAATTTTTAACTTTTTTTTTTTTTTTTTTTTTTTTAATTTTAGAGACAGGGTTTTTCTGTGTTGCCCAGGTCTCCAACTCCTGTGCTTCTTATTTACTTTTTAAACACCTTAGCATAGGCTGGGTGCAGTGGCTCATGCCTGTAATTCCAGCCCTTTGGGAGGCCGAGATGGGTGGATTGCTTGAGGCCACGAGTTCAAGATCAGCCTGGGCAACATGGTGAAACCCCATCTCTACTAAAAATACAAAAATTATCTGGGCGTGGTGGCATGTGCCTGTAATCCCAAATACTTAGGAAGCTGAGGCACTAGAATTGCTGGAACCCAGGAGGTGGAGGTTGCAATGAGCTGAAATTGTGCCTCTGCACTCCAGCCTGGGCAACACAGATAAAATAAAATACCTTAGTATAGATAGTAATATATGTGTATGCACACGTTTATTTTCCACCACAGGCATAGGGAGTTATATAGGAAGGGCCTTAGTGGGAGTCTGCAATCTAGAAGTGGTCACTAAGACATTTCAAATATTGTCACGTAAATATGACCATGAAATTCATTTATTAGTGAAATAGTTGTCAGAAATAATTCTTAAATGTTGAGATGAATGTTGTCTGTTAGTAATTATACAGGTGCCTTCATCCTTTGCATGAGAGACATATAAGAATCTTGTAAGTAGAATAGCTAATACCTTCAGAGCAGAGCCTCTAAGTTGAGAATTCCAGGGGGTTCACTCAAAGAAGCATCCTGTCTTCTGATTTGACTAGAAGAGTAGCTGGTCCTTCTAGAATGGTGACTCTTTCATGCAGAGTGGTGGCTGGAGTGCCTATGAAGACAAAGGGAGTGGAGTTCAAGAGTCTATAGTAATAGGTAGTATGACAGTATTTATGCCTACTTTCTAATGTGTGTTTGAACTTGTTGCCAAGTTCAGTCTAGAGCTTGATTTCATTACACACATAGTGTCCTGATTATACTATAAAACTAGTGTGTTTATCCAAAGAATTGTACAGTTGCAATTGGCCAAATTGGCTTAAGTTACTTTGTAGCACCTCTTCTTCCCCCATCTTCTTTCAAGAGCCCCACTGTTAAGAGCCAGGTGCAGTGAGTGGCTCACACCTATAATCCTTGTGCTGTGGGAGGCCAAGGCAGCAGGATTATTTGAGCCTCAAAGTTCAAGGCCATCCTGGGGAACATAGTGAGACCCCATCTCTACGAAAAATAAAGAATAGCCAGTCTTGGTGGCATAATACCAGCTACTTGGGAGCTGAGGTGTGAGGATTGCTTGAGCCCAAGAGTTTGAGGTGACAGTGAGCTAGGATCATGCCACCGCAGTCCAGCCTGAGCAACAGATTGAGACCTTGCGTCTCAAAAAAAAAAAAAAAAAAGAAAGAACATCACTGTTAGAGCAACCCACTTCTCCTATTAAAGGGTAAAAAGGAAGAACTTTTTCTGCTTTATGCAGGGAGGATGCTTTTCTAAAAATTGTATACTGTGCTCTCTTTTTTACTTATTAGACCACTGAGTAACATAAGTGTATCAGTGATAATAATCAGCTGATAGCACAGGATAATGGACAATAATAATAACATCAGGCATGAGAACTTTAAATGTGCACTGGTTTGGATCTGTCTAGAGTAGAGGTGGAAGTCTCATCTATCTCAGCAGATACTGAAAACACCTCAGCCTTCCAGATGAATGACACAAACTTACCCTATTTGAGTGCTATTAGTAATTTAACAGTCTCAACAATGAAATGAGAAATGTGCTCTTATTCACATTTTGTGGATAAGCAATCCAAGACTCAGACAGTCCCAAGTTACTTATGAATTTGGGCATTGAACTCAGGACTTTTAACATGCTTGTTCTTACAATGCTCTACTGTGTTGCTTCCAGTAATTGTTGATGTTCATTGTGATCAGTTCAAGCTAATGTTCAAAATTTAAACTATCTTTATCAAAATATACTTAAGGGGGCAAGGAAGCATGTCTTCTATATTAGAAAGATTTTAATACTGGTTGCTTAAAATAAGGGAATAAAATGGTAATTAAAAGTGAAAAATTAGCTGAGTGCAGTGGTATGTACTTGTAGCCCTAGCTACTTGGAAGGGTGAAACAGGAAGATGGCTTCAGCAGGAGTTTGAGGCTGCAGTGAGCTATGATCACACCAGTGCACTGCAGCCTGGGTGACAGAGCAAGAAACTGTCTCTAAAAAAAGAAAAAAATAAAGATTTTGGCTAAAACGTAAAGAATCTGGCTGACAAAGATATGCCTAAGATGATCAATTCTATTAGGATAAACTTTTATTATATAACTATATAAATGTAAGCTACCCAAACATAAACAGGAAGATTGTTATTATCAAGGCAAATGTGTTTAAAAGGGTTTAGAAAAACTGAAGAACAAAGTGGAGTGACTTGTGTTGTAAGGCCTGGTAGAATGGAGCTACTAGGTGTAGTAATCCAGAAATAATTCATTAATATGCATTTTAACTGGTATGTTTAGGAAGGTGAGAAAAGGCAGGCGTGGTGGCTCACGCCTGTAATCCCAGCACTTTGGGAGGCCGAGGCAGGCGGATCAAGAGGTCAAGAGTTCGAGACCAGGCTGGCCAACATGGTGAAACCTCATCTCTACTAAAAATGCAAAATTAGCCGAGGGTGGTAGCACAAACCTGTAGTCCCAGCTACATGGGAGGCTGAGGCGGGAGAATCGCTTGTACCCAGGAGGCGGAGGTTGCAGTGAGCCCAGATCGTGCCACTGCACTCCAGCCTGCACAACGGAGCAAGACTCAGCCTTAAAAAAAAAAAAAAAAAAAAAAAAGTTGAGAAAATTTCAGATAGTGAGACTTAGGTGTCATCTGAAATTGAATTCAAAATCCAGACGCTGTTTTAATGAACCAGTGGTACAAGCAGGATTGAAATGTGTGTGGTTTTTTATTGGCATAAAGAAGTGACTATGCAAATTAGAATGTAGAACAATTTCTCCAATATGAGTAAAAGGGAATTTAGAGTTGGCTGAATGGAATGCTGTGTATTAAAAGGAAAAATAAAAGAGCTATTGAAAACTGCCATCATACAAAAATAGTAAACAATGATTCTTGCCCATTAACTGGACACAGTGGCCTCTTATTTAATAACTATGGGGAGCTCTGTATTTCTAAAGCCTTTGCATGTGTTTATAGTCAACGGTATGGCTGGCCAGACTATTTTAACTTTTGACCATAAACCTCTGAATATGAAAAAGTTGACATTACTTTTATAAATAGAAAATATTTTGCCTGTGACTGATATGCAGTCTCCCTTAGTCAAAATGAGAATATACATACAGAATGTTCCATATGAATGCTCTCTTGAGAGTTTTCATTTGACGATTTTTCACTTTCATCTAAGGCTTTCATTTAGATGAGCCTGATGACTTACTGCGCACAATGCCAGTTTCTGCCACCGTGCCGTGACTCTCACATTTTCTGTTTGCTTGGTGAGCTCTCATATTTCTTGCATCAAAGTACTGTTACACATTTTAATAGAAGCTTCCCCATTGTGCTCAAATGACACTCAAACTTAATCCAAGAATCACTAAATTGCACAACTTTTAAACTACTGCTAAGAATGTGGAGGGATAGTGATGTAGTTACTACTCAGGCTATGGTGGCTTCTGGAACATTTACATTTTTGTATTAATGTTATGACAGTGTTTAAGGTTATCTGAAGTATGAAGATACTTAGCACATTTATCAATATGGCCAGTTTAATGAGTGAGCTTACTTTCACACTAATAGAAAGATTGCTGTTTTTAAATTAATTAGAATCTATTTCATGGGTGCTGTGCTTTCCACACACCAGGTGATTGACATGCTCTTTCAGGTGTGCACATGGAATATTCCCAATTACTCTCTTTGTTCATTTTTTCTCTTCTTTTTTTTTTGCGTCCTAATAATATACTTCTTCTTACTAGCACTCACTGCCTATGCACCTAATCCACACTCACTGCCTATGCACCTAATCTCAATATAATGTGTTAACTGTGATTGTACAACACCACAGAACCTAGCAAAGTTACAACAGTCTCCTTAGACTAGGGAATGCTTTGATGATGGTTAAGACCAAAATGATCACATGTGAGTAACGGACACTGTTTCTAAAATGTTGAGAGACTACTGCTTTGGAGCACAGCTTTCTTCTTATATATGAAACACAATAAATTGGGAGTTCGTAAGTATAGAAACTCTCTAGTAGAAGTGAATGTGCTTATACCAAATAAATATATTTGCAGTATGGAAAATAACTGATGTGACAAGAGAATTCTTGAAGTGTGATAGACTGAGGCTCCAAAATTTGCATGTTCTCCATCTGGAGACAGGGACTTCTCTAATCCTGGCTTTACATGTTATGGAGGAAGGTGGGCTTTATGTGGCCAGATCTTGTAATTTTTGAAGACAAATCAGCAATTATGTGAAATCTCCCAATTTAAAAATAATGGTTGAAAAATGAAGTATAGACTAAGTATAATATCTTTGTGGAGTTTTTCTCTTGTGCTCTAGAGCTCAATTGAAGAATTGACCTTTTGCAAATAAGATATAAATACGTCCTGATATTTCAGTTAAACTTCTCTAGTTATATATTTGCCAACTGACTACATCTGTGAAAAGAGGAGTGAAATATGCCCTGCTCTATCCTTTCTAACTTGGCTCAGAGGGAGAGAACAGGCCTTTACGTTATATCAACAAGAGGTGCCTGAGTTCTCTGACCTCCTGCTGAACTGCCAGGCATCTCTGGAAGTTTTAGTTTTGGGTGTCCTGGGTCAAAACGCTTTTGAAAACTTTCATTGTATCCACCTCTCGATCAAGTCTGTATGGTTGCTAAGGTTTGGCTCAGTCTTGCTGCTGATAATTATTCTCTCTCCACCTTCTGTGGTTACCACTTCCCTCTTTTTCTTCCACAATGCACACTCCACTCATTGAAGTAGCTTTTTTTTTTTTCTTTCTCTCTTCCATGCTTTAATCTCCCTCTCTTGGTAGGGAGAGTTTTTTTATTTACTCCGTTAGGAAACTATAATTTTGGCAGAAAATTACTGGCTTCCATGCAGTGCAATCAGAAAGAGACACACCCAGGAAACAAATCTTGCGTCCTGCATTTCATAGGTCCTTAGAACCGTTCCTCATGTTTTCCCCTATGTCTGCTATTCCTCCTGTAGTCCCAGCTTTAGAGAATGTCAACATGATCTGGTGGATGAAACCCCAGATATGAAGGATGTCCTGTCTCTGTCATTTCCTGGTACACATTACACCCTCCATATCAAATCTGCTGCCATTCCCTTTATCCCTACTGGCTCTGACTTTGGCAAGGTCCCCAAAACTCCCTATTTGGATTACTGCCATTCACCCCTGTCTCCATTCTCACTCCCTTTAAACCAGTCTTTGAAAGACCTCATCTATGATCAGGCCCTGTTTTATTTTTTTAATTGGTTTTTAATAATTGGTTTTATTGTGGACAGAAAAATTAATTGGTTTATTTTTAAAAACCAATTAATTTTTCTGTCCATAATAAAACCAATTAAATTTTATGTCCACAATAAAATGCAAAGTCTTTGTTGTGACACTCAGAACTATTCCCAGCCACCTCTCCTGCCATTTTCCTGCAATATGATTTATCCTAGGCATACTGAACCGTCAGTCAGTCTCCTGGATTGCTATGTATTTGCACATGCCTCTTCTCTCTTTGCTCAGCTACATGTCATGCTTCAAACCTCAGGTGAGATGATAGTTTCTCCATGTAACCTTCAGGTGGGGCTAGGTACCTTGCATCTGTGCTTCCCTGGCACCTTGCATTTAGCTGCATGGCTCTGCAGCTCTTTCACTAGACTTGAAACTCCTCAAAAGCAGGAAATAACTTTCATCCCAGAATCCTTTGGGTTTAGCATGATGTTTCTCTGCATGGCCAGGCACTGTGTTAGACTCTGAGAATGGTGATAATAGCTAACAGACTTCAGTTATTTTTTCCTTCAGGGTATAGAGCTGCTCCCATTACTAGCAATATGATGTGTTAATGCTACTGATATTTATTAAGAACCATTCACACATGATTGATTCATTTAACCCATAGTACAATTAATTATATCACTGAAAACTTTGGGTTACAAATAAATGATATTTACTCTTTTAATTACACCAACAAATAAATCTAAAGTTAAAAACACACAGTTTATAAATTACTCCAAAGACAAATAATCTGTTCTAACCAGAGGATATTAGAGTAAAAGACACATAGAAAGAGGTCCCAGTCACTCTGCCCTTTTCATAAAGTTGAGAATAGCTAACTGAAAGAGCAATTTCATATGAGGAGTCCTGAGCCTTTCAGATAATTTTTGAAACACTGTATTCCCCAATCTGGGGCTACCACCTTGGCTTTGCAACCATGCAGGCTCCCATAGCTCTGTCTGTAGGACCTTGAACTTTCTGATTGTGTAGCAAAGCCCCTAGTCTGCTGTGGAGCACAGGTGGGACTACTGTCATTGTTCCTGAAAACACATGAGTACCCAGTGTCCACACTGGTTCTAGTGCCATCAAGAGGGATCAAGGACAGACACTGGGCAGTTTCTGGTGGGAGTTTTGTCTTGCTTTTTACTTTAACGTTCCAAAGAGCTAGCTGTGCCATTAGTGTTTTTTTACACATAGCATTTATTCTTAAAAGTTAAATTGTAGAGATGAACTATTAAATATGCATGCATATTTAAAAATTCTAGACACACACACATGCACACACAAAATACCTCAAATTTTTGAATACACCTTCATGACTGAGTAAATTTTGATTTAAGAACTTAGAAAGTCTTTACGCATAGTACAGAGAAAGAACACTTCAAACAGACTTTGGCAGCATGTGTCATTGTTTCTAAATGTAAAGTTTTTAAACATAGCTTGGTACAACAGTTTGTTACAGTTAAAATTCAGTTTGTGTCACTTTTGGAAATCTAAACATTGTTTCTCTGTCATATGTCTTTGAAATGATATCATATGTTCTGGAAACTCAATGGGGGTATTGAGAGTGCCAGAACTTACTAGAGGAAAAATGCATATGTATAACCTTATAGATATAGATATAGATATGACTATATATAAACATGATTTTTTTTCCTATTTCTTTCTCATTAGGTTTATGAAACAGGAGTGTCACAATTGGGGAGTAGCTATGGGAATTAAGTGATGAATGTGTGTGATAATAGGTAAATCTCCATGTTACCTGCAAATCAATGACTGTGTGGCCTGGGCTGATTGGGCAGAGAACTAAAGAGAAAGCTGGTTGTTCACAGGTTCCAAAGAAAGTCAAGTTTAAACAAAGTTGAAAGTGAGATCAAAGCTACTGCATACAGTGCCTTGTCTAAGCACATATGAGAGCAAGTAGAAAATGGGTTCTTCTGATATCAAGGCAAAGGCTACAAAGTTAACAATTTCTCTCTGGTCAGAAAAAGGGCAAACTTTTGGAGGGCTGGAGGGCAGTGACCCATGAGCCAGGAAAGATCTATTATTCAGGCCAAGGAGTTAGGAGCAAAGTTTTAGAAATCCTATGATTACAAGTGACAGAAACCAGCTGAAAAATGTCTCTTGAGGGACTATCTTGGTACACAAAGCCGTATCAACCAGGGGTAAGTTTGTTTTTTTTCCGGCACTCTGTGTCGCCGGGGTTTGTCTCTTGGCTTTGTTGACTTGGCCTGTGACTCACAGGTTTGATAACTGTTAATGAAAAATGTATCTTAGGAATAAAGGAATAGAAGGCTACATCATTAATTTAGAAAATGTGAGGTACAAGAAACCTAGAGAAATGCTTATATTTTATGGAGAAATTTAGTACATGTTTTTAAAGCTATGAAACAAGAAAAAAGTAGTAGATATGGGAAAACACTTTTAAAAAAGAAAAAAATGGAAGGATCAGAATGGGAGAGATAAGCCTCTAATTATTTGCAGATGAAATGACCACCTGTCTTAAAAAGCAGACACAGAATTCATAAATCAATGGTTAAAAGCTATGAAGAGTTAAGCAAGGTCTTAGATCCAAGATCAACTTTTAGAAATCAATAATATTTTTCTATACCAGGAAAAATCAACTAGAAATTTTAACGGAAAAAACACCACTAGAAAGTATAAAGTATGTAGGAATTAACATAATTGAATTTATATAAGGTGTCTGTGTGAAATATTAAAACCCTAATAAAAATATAATAGATAATGTATATAAGAAGAAACTACCCATGCTTTTGGGATGATATAAGTTAGTATCATAAAAATATCAATCTCCCTAAATGAACCTTGATCTCAATATCAGTTGGATAAAAAATACTAAACTTCAAAAATTTTATGAAAGAATTCCACAAATAGCTGAATCAGTCTCAAGAAGGGAAAGGCAGAGGTATTTGTTCTTTAAGTATTAAGATGTAATACCAAGTCATAGTAAACTTTTTTAAAATAGTGTTTTACTTGTATAAGAATGAGAAATAGACTGAAGAGATTGAATAAAGGACTTAGAAATAAACTGATGTAAACAGGAAAAATTTATATATGATAAAGAGTTAAACCATAATCAATAGAGAACAGATTGATTAATAGATAATTGGAAAAATTGTTTTACTATATGGAAAAAGTAAAACTGATGCCTAGTTAATACAGTATACAAAGCTGTATTTCTAGTAGATGAAAAACTTAAATATGAAAGCTAAAATTGTAAATTGAATCAAAGACCATTTAGGAGACCACCTTGGTAATGAAGTTGGAAGAAGGCCATATTAAACAAACTTTGTAAGCAAAATTATAAAATACATAATTGATGAATTTGATGACATCACTTATAGAATTTCTGCTCATCAAAGGACAGCGTGGACAACACTAATAAGCATGTGATTAAATGGATGGAGTTATTTGTAATGTCTTAAAATAAGCAATGAATATGAAAAGCTAATTTATAGAGGAAGAAACTTTTAATGCCCACCACCTCAAATTATTTTGTAGTTAGATAAATGCAAACTAAAGGAATTATGGCATGTCATCTCTCATCAGTTAAGCTGCAAAAAGTTGGAAAAGTTGGGTAATAGCCAATGTTGGCAAAGAGTTTTGTATTTAGGAAGCCTTAGGCACTGCTGGTAAAAGTGTAAACTGTTGCCATCATCCTACAGAACAGTCTAGCACTATTTAATTAAGATAAATGAATACTGTAACTCAGCCCTTTTGCATACGTATGTTCTCAAAAAAATTCTCACACAGGTACGTAAGGAGGCATGCATCAGGCTATCCGTTGCCACATTGTTTGGGCAGCAAGTTAGTAGAGATCTAGGTGTACATCATTGAAAAAGTGGGTAAGTAGAATATACTAGACATCAAGGCATATGATATAGCAGGTAGAGGCTATGGACTTATGTACCTATGGCAATTTGGATACATTCCAAAAGCTAAAAAGGAACAAAGTGGTATGTTGCATACTGGTATTTATGTAAATCAAAATAAATGCATACTCATACAAACAAAAGATACACATGAAACATTATGATGGCTTGCTCTGGGCTGGGGAGGAGAAAGGATATGTAGAAATAAAGGAGAAAAATAAAGGCAATAGAGTAGGCATAGACACCATTTGCAAAAGAAAGGGGAATGAGTTCTGTCTGGCCAGAAATGGCAAACGTGTTGTTTCAATTATATTCAAGAAGTCAAAAGTAGACCCAAATAGGCAGAGTATGTAAGAATACTGTGTGAAAAAACAGCCTAAGTACATGATGTTGACTTCTTACCTAGAGTTACTGTCACATATAGAGCCACCCAAGGACTGGGGCACCAAAAATGTGGAGAAAATAAGCAGCTACTTAAGTTTAAGGTAAAGGTTTGGCAAGCATTGCAGATAGTGGATACTCATTATGACATAGTAAAAACCCCAGCACTGTCATCATTTTTACAAGCAGAAATTTCTTTCCAGCTCTGTAAAATTTGTTTCATTGTGATTGTTTCTTTCTCTTTGTCTGTTTTTAATCTCATTTGCCTCTTCCACACCATCATTCACATTTCTTGGTTCTCTCAATTTTTTAAACCATATTGACTTGCTTTTCCATTTGCATTTTCCCCCTTTCTATCTATATTTTGAAAATTCTATTGTCTTGTTATTTCTCTTTCAATACCCTCATTTCTTTCTACTAAGAGATTTTCTTCAGCCTGCAGAACTATCCTGCACACCTCCCACACTCTGTTCCTAATATGACTTTGGGAGGAAAGTGGTAGGAGTGCAAAAACTACTAGGTTTTTTTATCTTATTTTCATGCACATATTTCAGCAACAGAAAGTAAAGGTTATGAAAAAACAGGAAATCAGAAAAGTTCGTTTCTAAACATATTCTTTTTACTTTTTTTATGTACCGTAGGCTGCTCTTTGATGATTGCACACAAACAGAAAAGTGAAATTAAATCGCTGTGTTAATTGCATCACTTTTTGGCCTTTGACCTCATCATATTAAGTTGGTGATGCCCTCATGGGTTCTTAAAAATGAATTTTGCATAAGAAAGTGTTATCTGATTCCTATTTCTAATTGGTACAAACATTTCAGAAATTATATATATATATAATAAGATATATGGATATAATAATAAATATTTGTCCACTCAAGAGGAGGAATGCAAATAAAAAGTGCTTGTATGTGGAAATCCACCTACTGACTTCACCTCCAGCCATTACTTTATCTTTCCCTGCAGTTTTATAGGGAAGTTACAACCTACTTCCACTGGTTATGTCATTCTTTTCCTATAGAGTTGAGCAGCATTCTGTCAGGGAAAAAATAATTTATTATCCTTTTGTTAAATGGAGAACTGGAAGAATCACTTCTCTAGCTCAGCATACTGGCCCTTGAGGGAATAAGTGTTTAACAACTGACTCTCTGAAAAAAATGTTCTTTATAAATTTTATTGATATAAGAGGTATGTAGCATATAATTTACAAATATTAATAAAATGTGAAACACATTTATTGTAAATTCTGTATAGCTAAATATATCTCAGGGAACTTTTTTTCTAACATCTTGTATCTGTAGGTAACCTATGATTGCAAGTATCAATTAGTGTAGTTCTGACATCACTATTGGTTGATAATTTTATTTATGTTAAGAAGTAAGATGAAAAGGAAACAGCAAATATTTCTGTCAGAACTTCAAATGTTCATAAGTGACAAGTGAATTCTTGGCTCACTTAAATTACAACTTTGAATACTGGAAGAAAATATCCCCATTTATTTGTGTGTACACATGTGTATGTGCTGTTTACGTAGTAGTGTCAGGTTTTAAGAGCAGCAAGAGAAACAAACCTAATCCGTGGAGCTTTTCAAACTTCTATTTGAATATTTGCTTATATCGCATTAGCCAAAGCAAATCACATGGCCAATCTCGAAGTCAGAGTGAGAGGGCACTTAAAATTACAGGGTAAGGGAACCAATATGGATACAGGAAAGAAATAATTCTCTGCCATGTATATATTCAATCCATCGTAGATGCCTTCAGCCATATGTCATAGAAAGCTCACATAACAATGTTAAACTATAAAGATACATAATGTATTTCACATGGAGTTTGTAGGTAGGAGGTTCTAGAGTGTCTTCTTCAGTGCCACAATCTTCAGTTGCAAGGTTGGTATCTCTGATTCCCTTGACTTTATCCTCTTGGTCACAAGATGGCTGCCAACATCTAGACATCATGTCCTTATAAAACTCTGAATAAAGGCTGAGGCATCAAGGCAGTGAGAGAGCTTAATGTGCATGCCTCATCTTTTTATCAGGAAGGAAAAAGATTCCCCAGAAGCCAGCTGTAGACTGCCCCTTATGTCTCATCAGCCAGAACCAGATCACATGGCCTCCCCTACTTTGGGAAACTAGAATAGCAGTTTTCAGGCTTTTTCAAAGAAGCATTGGAAATACCTGATGGATATATGTCAACTAACAGTGTTTAAGAAGGACTTGAAAATACACTAGGATTCTATAATTGATCAAAAGTTGAGTCAGTGTCCCCTCTCATGCCTTTCTGTCACTTAGCTCAAGGATTAGAGACACAGCAGAGTTTAATTTGCATAGCCTGGTTCATGTTATTACCTTGACCATAGAGAACAAAGTTCCAGGTTTTTACATTCAGTGGACAACAGATGGAAGAGTAATTCTCTCCACAAAAAAGTGAAATGCCAGTCCCCAAAAGAGGAGTGGATGTAAAATGGCAACAATAAATGTCCACCGTCATGGGGAAACACATCTTTTGAATGGGAATATACATATTTTTAAATTACCTGCAAATATCTCCTATGCTTCATTTCCTACTCTCCTGGCCCAAAAGTACTGCAGATCCTCAAATAACATAATTTCATTCAACATTATTTCATTGTAATTTTGAGGGAAAAAGGAGTCAATTCCCAGCCAGGACCACTGTCTATGTGAATTTTCTCCAGGTACTCCAGTTTCCTCCCACATCCCAAAGATGTGCACATTAGGTGAATTAGCATGTCTACATGGCCCCAGTCTGAGTGAGTGTGAGTGTGTGTGTGTGTGTGTGTGCGCGCGTTCATGCATCCTGGGATAGGATGATGTCCTGTCCAAGGCTGGTTCCTGCCTTGGCCTTGAGCTGCTGGAATAGGCTCTGGCCATTCGTGATCCTGAACTGGAAAAACTGGGTAGATATATATCTTACTTGTTTTTCTTCATCTTTCTTAAATGTATGTATAGCTCGCATTTAATTCAATGTTTAGTATTAGGAGTGTTTTTATCTTTACTTAGAAGTTTGGTGATGTTTTTGTAACCAGAAATATGCTGTAGGAACTTAAGTTTTGTTTATATCAACTAGCTTATGGTAAAATTGGTTTTGTTATACATTATTTTACGTAAAGTTGCAGTTCCCAAGAACCTACCAATGACATTGAATGAGGAGTTACTGTATATAATTTGGAGCTCTGGCAGACTTAGTATTTTTTAAAAATTCATAGTTGATTTTTTTAAACAAATTTGCTTTACTAGAATGAATGGATCCTCTTATGAAACGTCCTTTGTTTCACATTTCATAGAATATTGATCCTGCCTCTGAGGGAGTGAGAGTCCTCAAATAATGACTTGTGTTGCAGTGACCCTTGTTCTACTCAGAGCAAGGAGGAGGAGATAATTCCCTTGGCCATTCATCAGACTCTGTTCTGTGATACTTCTTTTATTATAATCTTGAACACATTTTTCTAACGTTTTTGCTGTGTAAATGTTCATGTTTGTATGGCATACATCCCCAACTAATTCTGCCAGCAACTTACATTTTCTCTGAAGCAACTTGCACATGCAGTAGGAAAATAAATATTGGATTTATGATTAAATAAGATTTTGGAGGTATAGGGTTTTATCTATTAGTCACTGATTTTTTTAAATATCATCTCCTTGTCTTATATAATAATTATGAAAACAATGGTTACTTATTAAACTTTACTGTGACCACACCCTGTACTAATAACTTTACAGATGTAAAGCTGTACCCACAACTTTATGTGATTTATATACACATGGATAAGGAAGGTAACACCCAGCATGGATCAGTAACGACCCATTAAGTAAACAGTTGAGTTAAATGTGCCTGACCTGCTCTGCCTCAGCCATATTCTTCCCATGATTGCATCTTGGTGCTGGTGACTGTGCTGTGGTTGGAGGGAACACTCCAAAATGTTGGTAGGAAATGAGTCACTGGAAGAGTGACCCCTGTGTGCCGTCCCCAGCACAGGCACACACACATACTACAGACATAGCCGGCATATATTCCAACCTGAATAGGCTACAAAACTTCTATCCTGGGGTTCTTGCCTGTCTCTGTAACAACTGGTTTACCACCCCTCCTTTTTTCCCTACTTCTTTCATGCTTTTTTGAAGAATGGGGCTACAGACTAGCATATAACATGGTATGAACTGGCTATCTGAAGAGTGGGAGAAGAGATAGTGTAGTAGGTCTAAGATAACAGCAGAATGAAGTCCTGTTGTGCAAAAGCTTATTCCCTCTCCTTAATTACAGAGGGGTTACATATATGTAATGGAAAGTTTGAAAAATGCAGAAAAGCATAAAAGACAATACAGTCTTTTTTATTCCACTCCTACTTATAATCCCACTCCTACATATACTTATAGTTAACATTTTTTATTTCAAGTCTTTTATCTATGAGTGCATTTGTTTTTTAATAAAATTTGAACTCCAAAATCTATATAATTTTATAATTTTATTTTTGCTTACTGGAATCTCATGACAAAACAACATTAAGGATTTCGTTTTTCACCACTCTCTCATTTACTCATTCATTCAGAATGTTTTAATTGAAAACTTAATATGTGATAGGTACTGGCTTTTAAAGATGGCATGGTACATTAAGATGATTCATCTTTATTTCTTTAATTTTCTATTGATGGCTATATTTATTCAATTGTCAAATATTTACTGAATACCTATTATGTGCTTGGCATGTCCTAGGTGCTGGATACAGCAGTGAATGTTGTAGACAAGATCCCTGCTTCCTGGAAGCTTACACTGAGGGAAATGGTAAACGGGGCTTCAAGTAAACATATGCACAGAAGAGCTGAGGGCCTATGTGAGATCTTATTCCATCAGATTTCCATGTTCTTAATATCTATCAAAAGTTTTGGTCAGTTGATAGCTCTCTCCACTCCCACTTCAGTGGTGATACGGATTAATTCCCTTTGTAATTTACTGTTGTTTCAGTCGTGGAAATGATGAAAGGTTAATGTTTATGCTTCATCTGCAATTTTGAACCAGAAGGCTTCTTGGCTTATGTGATTTGAAAAGACTTTCACCAATCAGATAAATAAATTCATATTTCTAATTTATTTATTTAGCTATTTATATTTAATTCATTTAGCATACATTTTGGTTGGTTGTAGACATTAACTTTATTTTTCCCCAAATATTTTGAAATCCCAAACCATAGCACATTGCATACATTCAATAAATTATAGCTGCGAATCAGAATATTTTCTATTGGGAAAATATTGCAAATAATAATTCTTCAGTGAGATTGCATGGTGCTCACACACATGTTACAAAAAGTATATTGAGTGCATTTGGATATTTATTTAAGAAAAATCGTAAAGTTTTTGGCCGGGCGTGGTGGCTCACGTCTGTAATCCCAGCACTTTGGGAGGCGGAGGTGGGAGGATCACTTGAGGTCAGGAGTTTGAGACCAGCCTGGCTAACCTGATGAAATCCCATCTCTACTAAAAATACAAAAATTAGCTGGGCGTAGTGGTGGGCTCCTGTAATCCCAGCTGCTCGGTAGGCAGAGGCATGAGAATCGCTTGAGTTCAGGAGACAGAGGTTGCAGTAAGCCAAGATTGTGCCACTGCACTCCAGCCTGGACAATGGAGTGAGACTGGGCTCTCAAAATAAATATATTAATTAATAAAGTAAAAAAAGGAAAAATTGTAAATTTTTTGACATTTCTATCTTGCTTATTTTACTTGGCCTAGTGTTTCTGAAGTTCATCCACATTGTAGTGTGTAGATCAGTACTTCATTCCTTATTATAGCTGAATAATATTACGTTGTATGTATATACCATAATTTACTTATCCATTTATTTTCTGATGGACATTTGGGCTATTTCTACCTTTTGCCTATTGTGAATAGTGCTGCTATGAACATGTGTGTGCAGTATTTGTTTTTGTGCCTGTCTTTAGTTCTTTTGAGTATATACCTAGGAGTGGAGTTGCTGGGTCATATGGTAATGATATGTTTAACTTTTTGAGAAACCAACAAATTATTTTTCATAATGGTTGGAACTATTTTACTCTTCTATCAGCAATGTACAGGTGTTCCAACTTCTTTTCATCCTAATACCTGTTACTTTCCCCTTTTTGTTTTTATTATTGTTAGAGCCATCCTAGCACTGTTAATGGGTACCTTATTTTTAAAATTTTAATTTTTAATTTTATGGGTACGTGGGAGGTGTATATATTTATGTGGCACATGTGATGTTTTCATACAGGCATATAATGTGTACTTATCACATTTGGGTAATTGGGGTATACATTACCTCAAGCATATATCATTTCTTTGGGTTAGGAACATCCTAAGGATTTGTAAATTTTTAATATAACGTTTTAAAGCTACTTACGTTGAAATTACTTACAGTATGTTGCCGATAGAATCTTGTAGAATAAAATTAGGAAATTATTCCAGAGAAGTAGTGAAACATAATCACAGATGCTTAAAATATGTCAATTTACAAATTAATAAAATATATTAATATTTGTTAGCTGAGAGTAATATTTATTTGCATTCCAGTCATATTCTCCAAATCAATAAAGTGAATCATTTTATAACTGAGAAAGGAAGTTATATTCTAATGTTGGTATCAAAATAGGCTGCTTTTAGTAGGTTCTGAATTAAATGAAAATTCGTTCACTGAATAATGAACAGAATTGGGAAGGGATGATGAAAATATGCTAGCTACTTATTGAGCATTCATTCGATGACTGTTTATTGACTGTCTGCTCTGAGCCTGGGTACTGGGGATACAGTAATGAACCAAAGCACACACACAGTCGCTCCCCAAGTGAGCTCACATGTTAATGAGTAGAGGGATTATGTGTGTGTGTGTGTGTGTGTGTATATATGTACACACACAATGAGATAAATAATAGAAGGATATTTAGACAGAAACCTGAATCAGATGACAGTGTGTACCAGTGGACTTTTATGTGGAAGAATGTTCCAAGCCAAGGTAACAGTAAGAACAAAAGCCATGAAGCCAGGTGCTTGGTGGTTGAAGGTTCTGGAGAAGAGTGACTGAGGGGATAGTGGCAGGTGGTAGTAGATAAATTAGCAAGGTGAACCAAGCCAAGTTGGTGTGGTTATCTATTGATATTAGGAATAAGCGCATTCAGTTTTCCCTGCTTAACTAAAGTTTTCTAGAGGGGTAAGGTCAAGATACTCTGATAAGGCAAGGAAGGAAATTCCCACAGTGGCACCAAAAATGAGAATTAGGCCCTCAGAGACCTGGAGGTTCCACACTGGGGAAGTGTGCTGCTTTAGTGTGAGTAGTCTCCCAAAGTCATCGTAAACATTTCAGTGCTCAAGTGTGTCTGAGCTGTAACCTCTGTAGGAAAGGAAATCCTGATTTCTAAAAATAAATACTGCTTTTATTTTAAGAGTCAAAGGGGAACGGACCGTCCCAGTAAATACAGGTCATTGAAATGTTTTAATTGTGGAATTGGAATAGGAAGAGAGATAATCTGTTCAAACCTATAGATAGTTAGATACCATTTTCTTAAAATGTCTCCAGATACAAGGAGCCTGAACCCTCCATTGATAAATCATTAGTCTGTTTCCAGTGTTGCTTTGGTTGGTAATGTTTTAAAAAATGGGCTGGGTGCAGGTGGCTCACACCTGTAATCCAAGTGCTTTGGGAGGCCGAGGCAGGAGGATCATTGAGGCCAGATGTTTGAGACCAGCCTGGGCAACATAGTGAGACCCCCTGTCTCTACAATAATAATAATAATAATAATTAGTTGGGCATGGCGGCATGTGCCTGTAGTCCTAGCTACTCAGGAGGCTGAGGCAGGAGGATTGCTTGAGCCCAGGAGTTCAAGGTTGCAGTGAGCTATGATTGCACCATTGCACTCCAGCCTGGGTGATGCATCAAGACTCTATCTCAAAAATAATAACAATAATGATTAACTAATTCCCTTAATACTTTGTGAGATAAAACAGCTCACGTTGTGACTTATTCGTTCATTTATTGATTCAACAATGTATACTGAGCATGTACGGTGTACCAGACACTGTTGTAGTCTCTTGGGATACAACAGTGACTAGGATGGAAAAAGTCCCCACTCTAATGGACCCATATTTGAGTTAAGAGACAGAATTCTTTTTTAAAAAGATAGATATATCATAGAAGTGTAGGTGGTGATGACTTATCTGATTAAAAGGAAGCAGGACAACAGATATGAGTAAGAGGAACTGTTATATTCCTTGTGGATGGTCAGGGAAAGCCTCTCTAAGGAGGTGACACGAGCAAAATGAGGAATTAGCCATGTGAATATAGAGGAAAAGCATATTGCAATCCCGGGGTGGTGGAGGAGCCACAAGCACAAAGGCCCTAAGGTGGAATTGCTTATTTGAAAAACAGTAATAAGGCCAGAGTGGAGGAAAAGAGGTAGAAGAAGATGAGGTGGCGATGTAATAGTTTGGATGAGAGCCTATGAGCTCTGGTTGACTTTGGGATGATTCTATGTGTGAAGGGAAGCTGTTGGAGGGCTTTGATCTGACACATGTTTAGAAGAATGACTCCATGCCAGGCACAGTGGCTATGCCTGTAATTCCAGCGCTTTGGGAGGCCAAGGCGGGTGGATCACCTGAGGCTAGGAATTCAAGACCAGCTTGGCAACATGGTAAAACCTCATCTGTACTAAAAATACAAAAAATTAGCTGGGCATGGTGGCGGGCACCTGTAATCCCAACTACTCGGGAGGCTGAAGCAGGATAATCACTTGAACCCGGGAGGTAGAGGCTACAGTGAGCTGAGATCACGCCATTGCACCCCAGCCTGGGCAAAAAGGGTGAAATTCTGTTTTGTTTTGTTTTTTTAATAAAAAGAATGATTCCAATTCCTCTTTGTAGAGTAGATTGCTGGGGGCAAGAGTAGGGGCAGGTGGCTTGTGCAGTTAATTCAGGTTTTGGAGAGGTTGTGGCTTGGACTAGGGAGACAGCAGTAGAGATGGTGACAAACTTTGGATTTGGAGTATATTGTGCTTTTAATGTACAGGCAACAAGATCTGTTGACAGATTAGATATGTGAGAGAGAAAAAGAAAATTCAAAGATAAATCCAGGGTTTCTAACTGAACAACTGGATGGCAGTGACATTTCTTGAGATGCGGAGCAGCAAAGAGGGGCAGTGGGGGCTGATAATTAAGAGTTCTGTTCTGAACATGTTAATATGTGATACCTTGTAGATACATCTCAGCAGAGATGGTGTATCAGTTAGATAGATGAGTCCATGTTTTAAGGGGAGGCTCAATGATAGAGTTAGAAATTTGTGTCACCCGAGTATAAACGATATTTAAAGTCTGGAGACTGGATGAGATCCTTTAAGAGCGTGATGATAAACAGAGAAAATAAACTTTCTGAAGAGTGAGTCCTGAACACTCCAGCACCTATCTAGAGATTGGAAAGAAAAAGAGGGTTCAGTAAAAGTGACTAAAAAGTGATAGCCAGTCAAGTGGGAGGAAAGACAAAAGAATACACTATTCTGGAATCCAGAGAAGAAAGTGTGTTGTTTGAAAGAGGGAGTGATCCACTGGGTCACATGCTGCTGAAATGTCTGTGAGGAACTGAGAATTACCCATAGAAGCTGGCAATGTGAAGGGCATTGATTGGCAGTTTAAAGAGAGAGATTTGAGAGTAGAGGTTGGGCAGACAGCCTGCCTGGAGTCGATTCAAGGGAGCGTGCATGCAGGAAACTCAGATCCTTCTTGTGAGGCGTATTTCTATAAATGGGGTGGAATCTGAAGTGCAATATATCTTGAATGTTTTGTCTGCAATCTGAATTTTGATTGTTGTGTTTGAAGTTTTGTGAGGCAAGATGTTCTGTTTCCTAACATGTTCTTGTCTCCACTAGTGAATTTTATGTTCTATGAATTTAGAGTGAGACATCAAAATTTTTTTTGGTTCTCTGCTTGGTTCTCTGTGTTCAAACTAGCTTTCTCTCTCTTTCTCCATATATATATAAAATACCATGTTTAATTCAAATGTTTCAGTTTTAATTTTTATATATACCCTTTCTCTCCCTTCCAGTGAAAAGGCATGTGAATTAGTGCAGTGACTGAATCTAGATGAAATGACACACTCATGCAGCTAGCCTCTTCTGCGCTCCCAGTTTCTTCTAGAATACAATAAAGATTTTTGAGAACCTCTAGTTACCGGCCTATTCACAAGCTGAGATTTCTCAGGTACCTTGAGTGTAAACTAGATTTCCCTCAAGAAAAGTTTGTTCTGCCCTTTTTTAAAGGCAAAGAAACTCCTCTCAAAATATCTTGCTTAAAACATTTCTCACTCTGACTCCTTTATAGTCTTGTGATTATAAGCAAATTGGATTACAGAAATATAAAGGGAGCAGGATGAAGAATGTCAGGATGTTAGCTTTTTGGGGATTGACTGTGACAATCCCATGAAACTCAAGAATTTTAGGCATATCTCAGACCTTCATGGGGGTGAGGGCTCTTTGTATTGTTTACTACTGTGTTCCCAGTTATCCAATAAAATGAAGATACAAACTTGTACTGAATAACTTATGTGACAAGGTATTTATCTAGCTCTCAGTAGGTAAGCTGCCATTGTTTCTCTAACAAAATTGAAGTTATTTCATATTAGCATAGATATATATTGATCGATTATATGCATGAAAAATGAAAGCGATTATTTTATGCATAGTCACAGTATAACATTTTACCTTGATACTCATTTTTTACGGTATCCTAAAGCAAAGAACATGAACATCTATAGATTTTTTCCTCAATATCTCATTTTTTATTTCAGCCTTTCATGGGGTCAAGTGTAACTTGCTATTTTTTACTGTTCTTTAGATTTAGTCTTTGTAAATTATATCTGCCTTTAAGAGAGACAGCAACAGACCATTAGTCAGATTTGCTGGAAGTATGATACATTTCTCTATGACCTACTAACCTGAATCAAGATCCCAAACATCACAGATACGCATAGAACCTTTGCAGATACCCTTTTAATACAAGCATAGAAAGGTCTTTGTAGGCGAGTCCAAAATCTGCTATTGGCCGTCAGTTCAGCTGAGGACATCTGGCCACTTGGGAGTGAACGGAAAGACCAAAATAATAAACGTCACTAATGTTGGGGTGGCAGGTGGTTTTATTGTCTTTGGCTCTCCTTTCCTCTCCTGCATGCTACAGCATTTTTTTCCAGAAGCCGTACAGCATTTTACAAGGGGAGAAGAAATTCTTTCCTATCTCAAGGAACATCAAAGTAAATGAGAGAAATTGTTTTGATTTTGATCCTTTAAATCAGATGCACTGTCCACTTATCAGTACAAAGAAGAAAGAAATACACCACTTCCTTGGGGATTTGGCTTTGGGAAATGAGATTTTTGTCCTTGGAACCAAAGGATCATTTGTAGCACAGTCAGAACAATGGAATTCCACTGAATCCATGCCAGCATCCAAATCCATGGCCCTTGCTTGATTCTAGCACAATACATGGAATTAATGTAAAAATGTCATAATATTAATCAAAGAAAGGGAGTTTTTTTAAAAAAAATCAGTTTGTCACTGAATATAGGTTAATTTTGAGGAAAAACAAGATATATAGATATAATGAATATAAGTGTCAGTAAAATTAACAAAATGGAAGTTAAGAAAACCTTAGTTTTTAGCCTTTTTAGTTTTTAGGACTTAGGTAGAGCCAATTAGAAATCATGTGGAGCTGTATTGAAGTTATAGAAGGCAAGCAGAAATTGCAGACCACTGAGTGTGCATGATGTATGTGTCTGTGTCGTTCCTTATCTGACGTTTTTTAACTAGAACAGAGTGGCCTAGAAGAACTTCTCAAGGTCATGGCTACTTATAATAACAACAACGAACATATATAAAGCATTTGCTATGAGTCTGGGCCAATAGTAATTACTTTACATATGTTGGTTCATCTAATCTCTGCAGTGGTTCTGGGAGGTAGTCAATGAAGTAATAAACATACAAACAGGTATAAGTATATATGCAAGTATATACACATGACATATGTCATATATGTATACCTAAACGTGTAAAATATAGAAATATGATTGAGAGGCAAGTTTATAAACATTAATTATGATAATATTCACGGTGAACTTTATTTATTTTTTAATTTTTATTTTAGGTTCCAGGGTACATGTGCAGATTTGTTATATAGGTAAACTTGTGTTATGAAAGTTTGTTGTATAAACAATTTTATCACCCAGGTACTAAGCCTAGTACCTAATCGTTATTTTTTTTCTGCTCCTCTACCTCCTCCTACCCTCCACCCTCAATTAGGCCCCAATAATGTCTGTTGTTCCTTTCTTTGTATCCCTAAGTTCTCATCATTTAGCTCCCGCTTATAAGTGAGAAGATGTGGTATTTGGTTTTCTGTTCCTGTGTTAGTTTGCTAAGGATAATGTCCTGCAGCTCCATCCATGGTCCTGCAAAAGACATGCCCTCATTCTTTTTAATGACTGCATCATATTCTGTGGTGTATATGTACCACATTTTTAAAAATCCAGTCTGTCATAGATGGGCATTTAGGTTGATTCCATGTTTTTGCTATTGTGAATAGTGCTGCAATGAACATTCATATGCATGTGTCTTTATGTGGTTGAATGTTTTATAGTCCTCTAGGCATATACCCAGTAATGGGATTGCTGGGTCAAATAGTAGAATTGAAGATAGCCAGGAACAGCTGCTACAAAGCTCATTAAATCATTTACTTTGGTTTTATTCAAAATCCAAAAGCCTGGGTCCAGGGCTTTCTGGTAAAGAAAAGTGCTCAGGGATTTCAGTTCTGAATCACTGTTTGCTGGACATTTGGCCATTCTTTCTGTCTTTCCTTTCTAAGAGAAGCAGAACTGAGAGGAAAGATCAAGCAGTAAAATTCAAGAGACTAGCTCTTAGCTATTATTCTGGCACTACCTACCACTGTCACCTTGAAAATATTCCTTAATATGTTCTGGACATCAACTTACTCATCTCTAAAATGAGTTTTTCTTCTCTAAAGTTAATGATTCTTAACTTTTGGTTAAACTTTTTTAGTTGCTGTCATAGCCTTCATTTTGTTCAGTACCTGTGTCTATTATTTTTAATTTGTTAAAGTAATAAACATTTAGCCTTTATGAAATATAAAAATCTTCATTGTGCTATAGTGACAGTTTTATTCAGAGTGAGACAAATAGTGTGAAGTGTGAAGTACATTTTTTTCATTTCCAAGCTGCACATCCACACGCCTAATTACTGTTGTGTGAATAATTTCAAAGTGTCTACTAAGACTTCTAATAGCTATCACTAACTAGTAATCTGTCAAGGTATAATGCAAGATAATATGTTTTTACACAACAATAGTGAGGCTCTCATTGATTATTACCTCCTGTAATTGCTTGATATGAACATTTATTTTAAAACTTAAAAATTATATACAACAAAATAATGATTTAAACTACCTCCAGGAAGTCTATACACAGAAATTGCTGCATTAGAGTTAATGATTTATTAAGTCATATCTTATTGCTTTTATCTTAATAGATGACATGTTATTCAAATTAAAATAAAAGAAGGTTTTTGCCAACCATTAAGTATCTCACTGAGTCACATCTGCCTTAAAGAGAAACCTGTAGCTTATTAGACTTCTTTAGCAATACTTGATACACAACATCAATATATTTATATGCCCAAGGAAGGAGGATTTATAGTCTAGCTTTATTCCCCAAAGGTTAAGCGAGTTCCAGTTATATGTGTATTTCTATATCTTGTAGGACAACAAACTTTAGAATCTCATAGCCAAAATCTGCCATTTCACATTCAAAACTTTAATTTCAAAAGATTCCAGGCAGACTTTTCTTTAATTAGATATATTCTTTTTTGTCTTAGATATCTTTTCCCATTTATTTTATTTTATTTTTGCTGTAATTCAAATAGATGGGATAAAGTTAAGGTACAAATTTAAAATTATGAAGGAAAACCGTTTTTTAAACAATCAGATTTTGAACTCAATAGAAAGGAGAGTGGCTAAAAAAAAAGAGAGGTCTAAGCAGAAGATAGCTTATGGGTCAGATTCTAGCCCTGCCTTTAGAAAAACAGAGTGGAGTAAATTAAAGTCTTGTCTTGAATGAGAAAAGGAAGTTATTTTGTCAATACAGTGTAGAGAAGAAGACTAACCGGAGTGACTTTTGTGTTTCTAAATTTGGACCTTGAAGATTTCTGAAGTTGGTAGACACCTGGTGTTAGGCATTCCTTTACAAAAGAAGCATTGGGGCCACACAGTGGCTCATGCCTGTACTCCCAGCACTTTGGGAGGCCAAAGCTGGAGGATCACTTGAAGCAAGGAGTTTAAGATCAGCCTGGCCAACATGGTGAAACCCTGTCTCTACTAAAAATACAAAAAGTAGTCAGGCATGGTGGCACACACCTATAATACCAGCTACACCAGAGGCTGAGGCAGAAGAATCACTCACTTCAACCTGGGAAGTGGAAGTTGCACTGAGCCAAGATTGCGGCATCACTGCACTCCAGCTTGGGCAACAGAGTGAGACTCTGTCTCCAAAAAAAAAAAAAGAAAAAAGAAAGAGAGAGAGACAGAGAGAAAGAAAGAGAGAGAGAAAGAAAGAAGGAAGGAAGGAAGGAAGGAAAGAAAGAAAGAAGCATTGGGCTTGTGGAGCAGAAGGTTACGTGATTGCAGGTGCTAGTGTGAAACAAAGAACTACAGAAGGAGCATTACAAGGTGTGTGATTTTTCTGAGTTATCTGCATTTGAACAGCATGCCCGTGGCTCAGAAAATAACAAAGTAAGATGGGTTAAAAAATAAAAAAAGGTAAAAGATTTTAAGTAATACTTTATGAAAATAGGTATTACAGATTTATCTTCACAAATCAGATTTTCTGGACAGAGACCTCAGTAATTCAACCAAGAATCTAAAGTGTAAGTTGACACTAGGAGAGATAGCAAAGCCCTATCTTCGATGGTGGTTTTTAATTATTGTATGATAGAACATCATTCATTTTCTGCCTACTTTGGCAGGGAGTGGTGGTGGTTGGGAATTGGCATAAGTGAAGGAGGGAGGGAGAAAGGTGAAAGAAAGGGAGGGAAAAGGAAAGTCTTTTTTTATTTTTCTGGTTTCTGTTTCTTAAGATTACATTCAGAAACTAGACACATAGCTATGTGGTCACAGTGTGCAATTCTTTTTCATGTTCCTCCTTTTGAGGATATAAAATCACTAAATAAAAGCCTGTACCCAAACTTGAAGAAATTTCAGAAATATGTCTCCAAATAATACTGGATTATTCACTTTCTCTTTTCTTCCTTTCATTTATACTTTATAATGTGGTTTCTAAATGGAACTCTAGTGTTAATGCTATTGGTGGGCTTAAACCACCCCATACATTTTTTGTTGTTACAACTATATTGCTACATACGTGATAATCACCCAGTTCAATAAGTATTTGTTGTCTTTTCCTTGATATACTTAAATCTCTATAGTCTGGTGTTAGATGATTTTTTAAAAATTGTAAGGGTGATTAAAAAGGGGATGGTTTTATTTCCTGGGCAGAAGTTAATAATACAAGTTTATGATTGCTGTCTTGGTTCTCTCAAATGATCCAGTAGACCTCAGGATCTACCGCTTTCAGAACAACTTTGGACTGTCCCTTACAGCTGAATGCTAGAACCACTCCACCAAGGGAGCTAAGAGACATTATCACTCAATTTTTTAGGCATTCTTGTTAGAACACTTGATCACACGATGTGTCCTTATCATCCACCTACTCCTGGGACACAACACTTAGGTTGTGTTTTGGCTATATTAGAAAGTGAAAGTACCTTTTAAATTTCTTTGCTCATTAAGGGGGTGCAGTCATGTCACTAATTATTGTGGAAAGGAAGAGTTCTTGGAAAATGACTTGAGAATCATATTTAATGAGAAGGTTGCAATATTCAACTGCCTGATGTATTCCATTATTGACCAGAATAATTTAATTTCAGGACTTTTATTGAATCCTCACCTTTTAGCAAAAGTAAACTGGCAGAGTATTTTTTTTTTTTTTTTTTTTTTTTTTTTTTTTTTGAGACGGAGTCTCGCTCTGTCGCCCAGGCCGGACTGCGGACTGCAGTGGCGCAATCTCGGCTCACTGCAAGCTCCGCTTCCCGGGTTCACGCCATTCTCCTGCCTCAGCCTCCCCAGTAGCTGGGACTACAGGCGCCCGCCACCGCGCCCGGCTAATTTTTTGTATTTTTAGTAGAGACGGGGTTTCACCTTGTTAGCCAGGATGGTCTCGATCTCCTGACCTCATGATCCACCCGCCTCGGCCTCCCAAAGTGCTGGGATTACAGGCGTGAGCCACCGCGCCCGGCCGAGTATTTTCATTTCCTAATTGGGCCATGTCTCTCTTTCCGTTTTGTTCCACTTGACTGAGTCATGGATTAATTTGTTTCTAGTATTGCTTGCCTTTTGTGATTGGCCCAACTATGGAAAAGCACCCTTTGTTCCTTAGGTTTCCCGTTGGCCAGGTCACATTTCAGCTACTCATTAAAACATGTATTTATTCTACTCTGGAGCACATTGTCTGGCCAACCATGAATTTATAGTGAAATGTAACAGTAAATTGTGCTCTGTGGTCAAAAATGCCAAATGATACACACAGCAGCATAAAGGTTTCCAGCATAGGGTAGAATTAAAGAGCTTAGGACCAGTGCCTGGATTGTTGGCCATATTTTCACAGTGGCCAGTTTTGTTAGATTCAAACTTGGAGAGAGCTTGAAATCACTTATCTCAGATGTTTGCACTCACGACCACAAAGCCTCTGAGAAACACAGAACTGATCTTGTAATAAGCTCCAGCTGAGTTTACAAGCCTCTGAGCCTTTCTGAAAGCCTGTTTAGTTTAATGAGGGTTTTCAGATTTCAAAGCTCACACACCTTCACATAAAAACAGATGATTATGACCAAATTAGGGAATGTTGTTCTCTGAGTGTGTTCCCCCAATATCTTCTCTTTTCAGTTGTCAGGCATTGTTTCAGTACACTTTTCGCCTTCCAGACATCATTTTAAAGTACGATTTTGCTAAGTTTTATTGTATATAGTTTCTATTTAGGCAGAATGTTATGTTCAATAAAACGGATTTTTCTCTTAGCAGTTGAAGACCAATATGCATATTTTTATCCAGTAATAAAAGGAACAATCTAGAAAAATGTAAACCTTCAGCTTCTGCTACCGTGACAACTGTCCTAAGAGGCTAGGTCTCCACGTTCACATGTGTGACCTACTTCGTAGGGGTCTACAACCTGTTTCTGAATGGCTTGAAGGGAAAGAGCCATGTCTATGAAACAGATGGATATAGGAGAGAGAATATTCATACTTTAGTCATTTTGATATTGCAGATTACCTTTATGATCACTTATAACACTATCTTCATTGAAAAATATAGTGTTTAAATGATAGCTTTAATATGTGCAGCATATTTTGGTATTATTCTACCTAATTTTTTTAATGTCTTCTCAGCCACCCTTATAAAGAAACATAATAACAATTAGGATTTGAGGCATTCAAGCCTTACTCGAACACCAAATTATTTATTACATTTTAACCATCGTTTTACAAAGAGGCATCACACAAAATGTGAGGTTCAAATGTCAGCAGTGCAGAAACAGAGAGAAATGAAATATAGAGGGGTTCTTGAAGAAAGAGGCATGTGAATGACATCAGACGGCACTGGAATGGTGCTGAGCTGGTAGAACCCTTGCCTCCTAAGCCTCTTGAGTTTTCCCACCTGACTCTTGCATCACACAAGCAAATTGACAACACATGAGTTAGAAGTCTTTATAAAGTTGAGCTGTTATTCAGGGAAATGGTTTGCTGTTTCATCTTTCTCTCCAGCTATTATTTTCATACACGCCCCAGCCCAAACACTAAATCCCTTGAATTTTTTCTCTACTCTTTACATCAGAATTAGCTACCCAAGGTTTAGGAAAGGATATGGAAAGAGGATCTGTGTCTTAATTACAGTCCTGCATTTTAATAAGTATTTGTTTTCTAATCAGGGACAACCTTATAACTGTTAATTAAAGTTCCACCCAGTGTAGCTCAAACTGGAGCCTGAGAGTTATATGATAATTCATACATTTTGTATTTTTATTTCATTTTATTGCTTATCCTAAAAATGCACTCTTACCAGTTATGGAGATTACCTTTTTCTTTCACTTTTCTTGTAAAATGCAGTTTACATAGAATTAAATAGTCAAAATATTAAGTAGACAATATTACTATTCTCTATTTTAAAAGTGCATGAGGAGTAACTGGTTTGAGACATGCCCTCTTGCTCTAAACAAATAGGAAAACAATACAAAATTTATAAAATACTGTTTTAGACATTGGCCAACACACCATGCAGTAACGTGATCCCTCAGAAAAGGGAAACAAACAAGGTAAGTACTACAAACACCTGAGCTTCCTGCCTAGCAGCAGGACCAGAGTGTAGTATAGAAAGGGAGAACCCAAGCAGAGCCTAATTGTCTTGCTGCTTAAAGAAGACAGAGATAAGAGCTCAGGGAGGCCAAGCCAACAGGATTTTGGGGGAACAATAATGGAAAGGTTGGACTTATACAAAGAAAGAGCTCCAGAAATCTGTGTAAGGATCTGGTTTAGTATTTGACTGAATACAAATCTGTGTATGCATAGGGTAGAACTCTAAAGCAGGAGAAAGAGCAGTTGTTGGTAAGCTGTGAAATGACCACTTCCTAGGGCTCTCATAGGGCTGAGAGACATTCGAGTTTCTATCAAGCAAATAGGAGAAAGTTCACCAAACACTTGGGAGAATATTTAGAGATGTTCAAAGAATCGTTAGTACTAGGAATGAACTATCCCCAGAACAAAGACTGCTATAGAGCTGTCCTAACAAAGCTTAAAAATAGGCCTTGAAAGGATAAAACTGATCTGCAATTAACTTAATGTTCTGCCAAGACAAATGTCAATATCCATTAAAAAAAGGCAACAAAGTCCAACTGCTCATATTAATTTATAATATCTGGCATCTAATTTACACATATAAAAAAGCAGGAGGCTGGGCGCAGTGGCTCACACCCGTAATACCAGCACTTTGGGAGGCCAAGGCGGGTGGATCATGAGGTCAGGAGTTTGAGACCAGCCTGGCCAATATGGTGAAACCCCGTCTCTACTAAAAATACAAAAATTAGCCAGGCGTGTGGTGGGCACCTGTAATCCCAGCTACTCGGGAGGCTGAGGCAGGAGAATTGCTTGAACCTGGGAGGCGGAGGTTGCAGTGAGCCAAGATCGCGCCATTGCACTCCAGCCTGAGTGACAGAGCTAGACTCCGACTCAAAAAAAAAAAAAAAAAAAAAAAAAAAAAAAAGGCAGGAAAGTATGACTCAAAACCAGAATGTGAACAGTTAATGGAAACAGACCAGAAATGGTAAAGGTGATAGACTTGATGGAAAAATAAATCAAGGATTTAAATGAAAACATGAACATACTTAGGAGAGAAATGGAACACATATAAAATAACCAAACACAGCTTTTAGAACTGAAAAATATAATATTTATATGAAAAGTTTACTGGGTATATATGGTTAGGCTTTGTGTCCCCAACCAAATCTCATCTTGAATTGTAATCCCCATAATCCCCATGTGTCAAGGGGATTATCTGGTGGAGGTAATTTAATCATGGAGGCAGTTTCTCCCATGCTATTCTCATGATAGTGAGTTCTTATGAGATCTAATGATTTTATAAAGGTTCTTCCCTTCACTCAGCAATTCTCCTTCCTGCAGCCTTGTGAAGATGGTGTCTTGCCTTCCCCTTCACCTTTACCGTGATTGTAAGTTTCCTGAGGCCTCCCAAGCCATGCTGAACTGAGTCAATTAAACCTCTTTTCTTTAGAAATTAACCAGCCTCAGGTATTTCTTTATAGCAGCATGAGAACCGACTAATAGCATATATTTAAATGGCAGATTAGACATCACAGTAGAAAATATCAGTGAACTGGCCGGGCACGGTAGCTCACTCCTGTAATCCCAGCACTTGGAGGCCGAGGTGGGTGGATCACGAGGCCAGGAGATGGAGATCATCCTGGCTAACACGGTGAAAACCCGTCTGTACTAAAAATACAAAAAATTAGCCAGGTGTGGTGGCGGGCGCCTGTAGTCTCAGCTACTTGGAAGGCTGAGGCAGGAGAATGGCTTGAACCTGGGAGGCGGAGCTTGCAGTGAGCCGAGATTGCGCCACTGCACTCCAGCCTGGGCGGCAGAGCGAGACTCCATCTCAAAAAAAAAAAATAAATAAATAAAAATTAAAAAAATAAAAAAAGAAAAGAAAATATCAGTGAACTCATAGCAATGGAAATTATCCAAACTGAACCTCCCCTAAAGACAAAAACAATGGTGAAAATTTTCTAAATGTCATGAAATGTATAAATCTATAGTTCAAAGCACAGTGAACCTCAACCAAGATAAACTGAAAAAAAAAAAAAACACTTCAAGGCACATCACTATCAAATTGTTTAAAGTCATTGATGAAGATTAAAACTGTAAAATAATTAGGGAAGAAAAAACATTGCATACAGGGGAACAGATAACACATACTTCTCATCAGAAATAATTCAAAGCAGGAGACAAGGGAATTACATTTTAAAGAGCTAAAAACATTAACATACAACTCTATATACAACAAAAATAGCTTTCCAAAAAAAGATGAGATAAAAACTTTCAGAGAGAAAATCTGAGAAAAGTGTTTGCCATCCAGCTTTTATGAAATACTAAAGAAAATTCATCAGATGGAAGAAAGTGATACCATGTGAAACCTTGGCTCTATACAAATCCATGAAGAGTGACAGAAATAGTAAAATTAGATACTTTTTTATTTTAAACATTATTTTAAAGGTAATTATTTAAAGCAAAAAATACCATTCTATTTTGGTTTTTCTAACATTTGTGTATGTAAAAGACATAGAAAAATAGCATAAAGGCAGGAAGAGGAGAAATGGAAATATACAGCTTTAAGGTCATTGTGTGTGAAATAGGATAATTATACAAATAAACCAGGAGAGAAGATAAAAAGAAGTATCAACAAATAATATCAAATAATATAGAAAAGGAAAAAAAGTAACAAAAAAACAGATGTAACAAACAGAAAAAAATTGGTAAGCTAGTATCCTTAATTGCATATACATTAAAATATAAATGATAGAAACAACTTAAAAGGTAAGGATTGTTGGTCCAGCGCAGTGACTCACGCCTGTAATCCCAGCACTTTGGGAGGCCAAGGTGAGTGGATCACCTGAGGTCAGGAGTTCGAGACCAGCCTGGCCAACATGGAGAAACCCCATCTCTACTAAAAATACAAAAATTAGCTGGGTGTACTGTGTACGTCTGCCATCCCAACTACTCGGCAGGCAGAGGCAGGAGAATCACTTGAACCCAGGAGTTGGAGGTTGCCATAAGCCAAGATCGTACCATTGCAATCCAGCCTGGGCGCCAGAGTGAGATTCGGTCTCAAAAAAAAAAAAAAAAAAAAAAAAGTAGAGATTGTCAGACTGCACAAAAAGATGAGGGAGTCATATATACGTGTGTACAACAACTTTATAAAGACACAGGGATTTAAAGAATGACAACATAGTACCATGGAAACATTAATTCTAAGAAGTTTAAAATGGTTATATGTTCATGAAGGACAAGAAATAATGCCAGATATAAAGAGGGACACCACATATTATGAAACGGATAAATTCTTCAAGAAAATGTACCAAGTTTCATTGTTTATACACCTAACAGCAGAGCTTCAGAATACTTAAAGCAAATAATAGAATTGAAAGGAAAAAGAGAAAAAAATCCACAAGTATATGTGAAGACATCAATATTTCTTTCTCATTAATTTATAGAACAAACAGAAAATTATTAAGCAAATAGAAAATCTGAAAAACTATCAGTCAACTTAATCTAACGGATATTTATAGAACTTGCCACCCAACAACAGCAGAATACACATTATTTTCAGATGCACATAGAATATTCACCAAGTTTGACCTCCTGGGCCATAAAACGTCTTAGGAAATGTAAAAGTGTTAAATTTATGCAAAGTAGGATTTGGACCTTAGCAGAATTAAATGAGGAATTAAGAACATAAAGTTATCTGGAAAAATCTCTGAGTATTTGGAAATTTCACAACACTCTTCTGAATAACCCATGGGTTAAAGAGAAATTCACAAGGGAATTTAGACTACATATATTTAAAATTAATTAATGGTTTTAGTTGACAAAACTTATGTATATTTACCATATACCACATCATGTTTTGAACTATGTATACATTGTGGAATGGCTACATCAAGGTAGTTAACATATGCATACCTCACTTACTTACCTTTTTTTTGTGGTAAGTACACTTAAATTTTTCTATTATCTTAGTGACTTTCAAAAATACAATATAATATTATTATCTATAGTCACCTCATTATACAATAGATATCTTGAACTTATTCCTCCTAACTTAAATTTTATATCCTTTTTCCAACATCACTGACCATTTCTCACCCACCGCTTAGCCCCAGTAACCACTGTTCTACTCTCTGCTTTTATGCATTCAGGTTTTTTAGATTCCACATATGGTAGATGTTTTTATGTGCCTGGCTTATTTCACTTAACGTATTATTCTCCAGGTTTAATCATGTCCGGAATGTTAATATTTCTTTCTAAGGTTGAGTGGTATTCCATTCTGTATCAATACACCACATTTTCTATATATATTTATTCATTGATGGACACTAAGGTTGATTTCATATCTTGGCTATTGTGAATAATGCTGCAGTGAACATGGGAATGCAGTTTTCTCTTTGAGATCCTCACTTCAATTCCTCCGGATATTCCTTATGGATACCCAGAAGTCAGATTGCTGGATCATATGGTAGTTATATTTTTAGTTTTTTGAAGAACCTCCATACTGTTTTTATAGTGGCTGTACCTATTTGCATTCCCCAGAGTGTACAGGGTTCTCTTTTCTCCATATTTTCATCAATACTTGTTATCTGTTCATTTTGTTTTTATAGTAGCCATTTTGACAGGGTTGAGGTAATATCTCATTGTGTTTTTAATTTGCACTTCTCTGAATGGTGATGTTGAGCAATTTTTCATATACGTGTTGTCCATTTATATGTCTTCTTTTGAGAAATGTCTATTTTTCATATACCTATTGGCCATTAGTACATCTTCTTTTGAGACATGTCTATTCAGATCCTTTGCCTATTTCTTAATTGGATTATTTGTTTTCTTGCTATTGAGTTGTTCCACAGGTGGTCTCTTCACTCTATTGATTGTTTCCTTTGCTGTGCAGAGGCTTTTTAGTTTGATGTCTTAACGTTTGTCTATATTTGCTTTTTTTTGTTTGTGCTTTTGGGGTCATATAAAAAAATCGTTGCCCATACCAATGTCATGGAGTTGTCTCCACATCTTCTAGTAATTTTATAGTTTTAGGTCTTATCTTTATGTCTGTAATCTGTTTTGAGTTTGTTTTTATATATGGTATGATAGAAAATATTTTGAATTGAAAGAAAATAAAGACACAGCTTTTTCAAAATTTGTGAAATATTGCTGAAGTATTTATTGCATTAAATGGTCATATTAAACTAAGTCTCAAATGTCTCAAATCAATAATACAAGCTTCCACTATAAGAATCTAGGAAGAAAAGAACAAATTAAAGTTAAGTTAAAGAATGGAAATAATAAAGATAGGAAAAGAAATCCATGAAACTAAGTATAGAAAAATAATAGAGAAATTCCATGAAACAACTGCTGGTTCATTACAAGAGAAATTGATAAAATTGACAAGTTTGTTACCAGACCAAACAAAAAAGAAAGGATATAAGAAATTAATGAAGAGACATCACTACAAACTGGATAGTCATTAAAAGGGTGGTAAGGGAATCACATGAATAACTTTATGCCAAGAAATTTGACAACTTGAATGAAATGGATACCTTTCTGAAAATAAACAAACTGCCAAAAGTCACTTAAGAGGAAATTGAAGTCTAAAGTATACTATACAGATATTGAATATGAAGTTTTAAGTCCTCCAGCAAAGGAAAATCTGGGCTTAACATGGCTTCAGCAGAGAATTCTACCAAACATTTAAGGAAGATATAATACCAAGTCTGTACAAATCTTCCAGAATATGCCAAAAAATGAATCTCAATCCATATATTTTGCCCTATTCAAAACTTACCTTGAAGTAGATCATAGACTCAAATGTAAAATTTTAAACAATGCGATTTGTAGAATAAAATATAGGAGAAAATTTGGTTATGCAAGGATTTATTAGCAAAAGCATGGTCTATAAAGAAATACATGATAGAGTGGGCTTTTTATAAATTCACAACTTTTTGTAGAAATCAACAAAGCATTTCTAAAATGTATATGGAAATTCAATGGTCCTATATCCAAAACAATCTTGAAAGGGAAAAGACATTGGAAGGCTCTCACTACCTGAATTTCAGGCTTAGGATAAAGCTACAATAATAAATATAATGTGGTGGTAAGTTTATTAAGGATAGACATACAGCTCAAACATGAATTTATCATATGACCCAACAATGCTGCTTCTGGGTATTTACCCACAAGAAACGGAAGCATGTACCCACTGAAACACTTGTACATAATGTTCATTGCATTTTTATTTGTAATAGCTGCAAACTGGAAAAAAAGACTACAATGTCCATTTGTGGGTGAACTGATAAACAATTATGCTAGATCCATTTAATGAAATACTAATAAGTAATAAAAGGTGAAAGAACCCAAATGTATGTATGAATGAATCTCAAAAACTTTATAATAAGCCAAAAAAGCCAGCCAGAAAAGAGTACATATAACATATTTTATGATTTCATTTACATGAAATTCTATGTCAGACAAGGTAAACTAGGGTGACAGAAAGTAGATCTGTGCCTGAGGTTAACATTGTTGGTTACATAGATTGCAATAAAACTTTTGGGGTTGATGAAAATGTCTCATGGCTTGATTGTGATTTTGGTTATATGGGTAGTTATATTTGTCAAGACTCATAGATTTATCCACTTATATCAATTTATTTCATGTAATTTATACTTCAATGAAGTTGATTTTTAAAATAGTGCATGAGGTATCCATTGTTTTTTAAAGTGAAGAAAATGTTATTTTTATTTTCCCTTTGTTTCCTTGTGCTGTAATAGTATTATTGGAGATATTTCTTTTTTTTATTATTATACTTTAAGTTTTAGGGTACATGTGCACAATATGAAGGTTAGTTACATATGTATACATGTGACATGCTGGTGCGCTGCACCCACTAACTCGTCATCTAGCATTAGGTATATCTCCCAATGCTATCCCTCCCCCCTCGCCCCACCCCACAACAGTCCCCAGAGTGTGATGTTCCCCTTCCTGTGTCCATGTATTCTCATTGTTCAATTCCCACCTATGAGTGAGAATATGCGGTGTTTGGTTTTTTGTTCTTGCGATAGTTTACTGAGAATGATGATTTCCAATTTCATCCATGTCCCTACAAAGGACATGAACTCATCATTTTTTATGGCTGCATAGTATTCCATGGTGTATATGTGCCACATTGTCTTAATCCAGTCTATCATTGTTGGACATTTGGGTTGGTTCCAAGTCTTTGCCAGAACAGAGCCCTCAGAAATAATGCCGCATACCTACAACTATCTGATCTTTGACAAACCTGAGAAAAACAAGCAATGGGGAAAGGATTCCCTATTTAATAAATGGTGCTGGGAAAACTGGCTAGCCATATGTAGAAAGCTGAAACTGGATCCCTTCCTTACACCTTATACAAAAATCAATTCAAGATGGATTAAAGACTTAAACGTTAGACCTAAAACCATAAAAACCCTAGAAGAAAACCTAGGCATTACCATTCAGGACATAGGCACGGGCAAGGACTTCATGTCTAAAACACCAAAAGCAATGGCAACAAAAGCCAAAATTGACAAATGGGATCTAATTAACTAAAGAGCTTCTGCACAGCAAAAGAAACTACCATCAGAGTGAACAGGCAACCCACAAAATGGGAGAAGATTTTCGCAACCTACTCATCTGACAAAGGGCTAATATCCGGAATATACAATGAACTCAAACAAATTTACAAGAAAAAAACAACCCCATCAAAAAGTGGGCAAAGGACATGAACAGATGCTTCTCATAAGAAGACATTTATGCAGCCAAAAGACACATGAAAAAATGCTCACCATCACTGGCCATCAGAGAAATGCAAATCAAAACCACAATGAGATATCATTACACACCAGTTAGAATGGCAATCATTAAAAAGTCAGGAAACAACAGCTGCTGGAGAGGATGTGGAGAAACAGGAGCACTTTTACACTGTTGGTGGGACTGTAAACTAGTTCAACCATTGTGGAAGTCAGTGTGGCGATTCCTCAGGGATCTAGAACTAGAAATACCATTTGACCCAGCCATCCCATTACTGGGTATATACCCAAAGGACTATTGGACATATTTCTAAAAAAAATAAAGTGAACTAAGTTTTTTTTTTCTTTTAGTTAGCACACTGGAAGCAGTGACATCATTTCAGCTGTTGTGTTTTTTTTTTTTAAGGAAGTTAACTTTACTAAGTGACATGCAGAAATAGTTTTAAGCCTGGTCATCAGCACTAAGAGCAATAAGATGTTCTCATTATATTTATTTTTAGTTCATACACAAAATGATTCATGTGAATTTAGCCCCTAATTCTAAGACTAAGAAAAAGAAAGAGAGGTTTATAATGTATTGTTTTTATCTCCAGCAGGTATTAGATTCTGGACATTTCTCCCCGACAGTAGCTTCTTAAGGTCCACCTGTATTGACATAAGTGTCAGATCTGTCATCAGTTCCAGGATGAAGAAAGATAATTTTCTTTTTCCCTGAGTTTGCATCTTTTCCCACTACATTACAAATGTCAATTTATGGCAGAAATAGCATTCTTTAATAATTATGTGAAAAAGTCATTACAAGAAAAGGGCCCTTTTCATATAATAAATTAGCCTAGGTTGTTTGCTTTAACAGAAACCCTCCATGCTGTGCAGATGGACCTTTTCTTACACTGCTCATGAGATTGTGGATTGACAGATTGCATGAAAGCCACATGGAATGCAGTAGGGGCAGCAGCAGAAGGGAGAGGTGGATTGCCTCCCCTGATCTCCTGATCAAAGGATCTAGATAATGCTACTACTCACATACAGAATATGTTTAGATTTATTGAGGCATCTCTTATTTTTGAATATGCCAAAACAGACAGACCCAGTTTTTTGCAAACAAATTGCCATTATTATGTGTAATGGAATTGGAATAAAGCGACTCCCATTTTTTATGTTACTGGATTGCTGTAAATCATCTGAAAGTGCACACCTCTTCCCACCTATATTTCTTAACCACTTTACTGCCAGAACTTATTTAAATCTTATCTCATATTCTCTTGTTTTCTTGCTGTCTAATTAGAAAACCACTTGACCATTACTGCCCCTGTGATCTATGTGATTTCTTTCCTTCTGATTTGGAGTCTTCCCAATATCAACTCTACCATTTATTTATTTTTTAATTTTAAAATATTTTAATGATCTAGATACTTTGAACTTTTCTAATTAGCTTGTATTTGTGCCCTGAAATATTTAAAACAAAATATTTGGAAGGATTTTGACATTTACACTCTCATGGTATTTGTATTTGCAGTTCCCTGAATGTGGTTTCTACGGAATGTATGATAAGATCCTGCTTTTTCGCCATGACCCTACCTCTGAAAACATCCTTCAGCTGGTGAAAGCGGCCAGTGATATCCAGGAAGGCGATCTTATTGAAGTGGTCTTGTCAGGTAGTATACTTTTATACCTTTTCTTTATCCGTAGATTAGAAGTTGTATTTGAAGAATTCTTGGGCATATGTTTTTAAGGAAACATAAAAAGCATATCTCAAACTCAGCTCCAAGAGAAGATGTTGGAGCTCTGTCCACATGAAAAAGGGAAACAAAAGGTTTCCCTTTAATTGGCTGTGTCCACACCCAGTACTGCTCCAATCACGTCTCTTGACTTAAGGCTTCCTCCCAGCCCCCTCTCAGCCTCTAGCAACATACAGATGGCGTCATTCAGCACCTTGAATCATTTGGACAGCAGCAAAAGCAAACAAGAAACTCACCAACAGTGAAGCTAAATTAGCTGTCAGGGCTGCAATTGTACAGAATGTGTGGAAGCCAAGAAATAGCACCAGGGCTAAGAAGCCTTTGACTTACTAAGGTCAAAAGTCCAGTAGCTATGAGGTAAGCCAAGACCAAGGAGGAAGCCAGAGCCCAGGAGTTAGAGAAGGTCAGGTCATGCCATGTGACGCTAGTTAACTCAGTCCCTGAGAAATGGCTACATTTGCCTCTGCTCACATTTTTTATTTCTTGTTTAGGATTTAGCAGTTAGTAATAGGACTGTGCCTAACCAAACAGAAAAAAAAGAATGTATTTAACCTTTTTAAAAAGCACCAGAGAACAACAGCTAGAGTGGAGATCCTTACAATGATACTCAATGCAATGATAATGTATCCAAATTTTTATTGTTTATTTTTGTTAAAAAGAGAATAATTATTGAGAAACTTGGATTGCCTTGCTCTTTTCTCCTCTCATGCCTTCTTTGTTTACCATCTCTTTGAATAAAAGAAGTCCAGCAGCATTACAGAGTCTCAAGTTTATTTCCTCAAGTTCCTCAACTTGTTCAGAGCCCAGTACTTGGATGCACTGATTATAATTCAATTTATCTTTGTTTTATTCACTTTGCTTTGATTCAGTCTAGTTCTCTTTTTTATCTTTATTGGTTGCCTACAGTTGTGTGAGATCCTGGGATTGCCACAACTTCATTGTGTAGATGGATCCTATAAAACAACTTTTTTGCTAGATAAAGGTAATTATTTTTCTGTTGCCTGCACCTGACCTCTCAAAACTACGGACTAGACATGTTGTTTTCTAAGTTTCCTGTTTCTGAACACTAAATTAATTATTCAGGGAAATCATGCACTGGATCAGTTCTTGCCATAATTCATATTAAACTCACAGCCAGGCTGCTTTGTAAATAATGTAATGTTTTATGAGTCCTTTTGCCTTGTGTCAATGTCCAGAAATATATGAGGACTTTTAAAATTGCATTTCTAAATATAATGTATTATTCTTTCCATTTTACTTTTGTTATCAAGCACTTTAGAGTAGTAGCAGACAGATTGAATGCAACCTGTGTGTGGGTGTATTTATGTAGGAGAGGACTGCTTATTTGCATGTTATCCCAGCATTAATGAGCCAGACCTGCTCTTCCCTCGTGTTGACCTGATGTAGCCCTCTAGAATTCCCTTGCTGCATGAGAACAGCATTCTGCTTTTCCTCTCCCATCTTTGCAAATTGAGAACTTCATTGTGCGTATGCCCTACCTCCCCTGCTGTCCACCCTTTATGTTCCATGTCTCCTGTTTTCCTGGCCACAGTTGTTGAGAGGGCATTTAAGAGCAGCCCATTTCCTTACCTGCTTTCCCAGCACCAGACTCCAGAAGGGCTCCCTTACTCTTACCAGCTATTTTGCTGGAATTTAAAAGGAGCTATTCTCTAACAGTTTAATTCTAGTTTTGAACGACATAGTGCCATTTTCCCAAAGTCATTGACCCTTTAAATTGTTCAGTTAGTATATCAATTACACACACACACACACACACACACGCACACTCAATTATGTTTAGATCTCCTGCGCTTACCTATAACCATCGACAGCAGTACTCTCCCAGCTCCTCTCCCACTCTATTGCTTAGCATTGTGATTTGCTCAATAAATGTTTATGTTTACAATAGTTTTTTAAACCATCCCACCCCTTTGTATTACAACCCTGTTTCTTACCCATATCTCTTATCTCTTTTCCCTTAGCCTTTTTAGGCCCTGAGTCTATTGTGATCAAATGCCTGATGTTCCTTTCTTTTTCCCGGTCTTTATGTCTTCCTTGCATCCTGACTCTCCTGAAGGTGATGCCCCATTTCCAAGAGGCTTTGCCTCTTATTTTCCTCCACTCTTAGTTGAGGAGTTGAGTGATATGGCCCTCTTCTGATTTCCCATTGCCATTTAATTATTTATGTCACCTTCTTTGCAGTGAAGTGATTTATTTTCCTTGAAGACTCATTTCCATTTAAGTATGGCAATAATTGTTGTCAGATTCCTAATTTTACTTTCCATTTTAAGTACTCATTCATCCTTGGTTTTGTTAACATACATATTTATGATTCTTCAGATTCCTTGTTATTTATTTTTATTATCAGTCACCCATAATGCCATTCCTGACTTCACCAATAAGACAAGGCTCCAGCTTCAAAATCTCCACTTGGTAGCACTCCTCTTCTCCTACTCTAGCCTGTCCTTCTTGTCCATCTCTACCAAGTGCACATTCCTGTTCCCTGACTTTTTCACTGTATTTTAATCACTAACTCCCTACCATTTTTGACCATATTTTTCTATTTCTTTTTTCTCCACATAGCATGCGACTTATTATATTCATGTCTTACACCACACTTTGATGGAGTTTCAATGACTTTGTATACCCGGGCAGGGCCTGCAATACCTGTTAGTAATCTGAATTACTTTACCACCCATTTTTGCCATTCTTTTCCCGAGCCACATAGGACACACAGTTCCCAGCCTACCTGACTAAATGCAGATCCAACTTTCACCTGGCCTAACTATTGTTCAGCAATCTTTCCCCCACCTCATCCTTTTGTTATCCATAGATATGAGGTTCTCAATAAATATGTATGAGTTCACTTATTAACTACTGGCTATGAGAATAAAGTTACTACATATATACCATTTTGTAAAAATATCGATTTGTTGTAAAATATTATTTCTAGATATATCCTCAGAAATAAACTGAACTTCAAGTCTTCTTGCTATGCATTCTTTTGGCCCACATAAGAGAAATCAGGGCCTATCAAGTGAGTAGGATTGTACCATGTTATAATTTGTGGCAAGGCGAGTGATAGCAGCAAGGACACTTCAGGCCATATGTGCAGGAGAGCTTGGATTACATACTCCTTCCTGACCTAGTCCCTGAAGGGGACACGAAGGGTGCTGCATTTTCCTTCTGAAGCCTGTAGTTTTACTGTTAAGTTTTATTTATCTGAACTTTCTTTTTCCTTATCACAAATTAAATTTTACTCTGTAGTTTGATGTAAACATAACCTGGTTGTTTTTATATTTAACTAACAATCTACCAGCAGGAACATTTTCTGACACAGGACTGCAGTAAAAATGAGAGAAAAAATAGGGAAAAATTTCAAGGTTAATTTTATTTCTTCAGACAACATCAAGATTTTTTTTTTTCTTTGCTTATATCATTTTCTGCTCAGACTTTTCATCATCTTTTAACTGCTTTGGGAGTGAAAACTAACCAAGCTGCTTCTGGCTAATTTGCTGATTTTTTTCTCCCTCCGTTTCTTTTTGAAAAACATGACTAGTGTGAGCTAGTACATTTAAACGCAGTAAGCCAGGAAAAGATTGCTCATGAGTAGATGGATTGGGTTATTGAGGAAAAAAATAACAACTGCATGAAAGTTCCCTACCCCACCTATCCCCACTACTGGCAAATTCTCTTTGTATGTTAAACAAAGGACTAGCATTCTTACTATTGTTAAGAAGTAGGAAAACACTGAACATGGAAATTTTTTTTTTTTTACCAGAGTGAAGTTCAAGTGTATGGTACTGAACTGTAAAATCAAGGTTGTGGAATGTATTTGAAGCCTTCTTCATGATGGGCCTCTATCAAATCCTGATAATTCAGCCTTAGCAAACAAATTAGTAACAGGACTACATTTACATGACTCAAAACACTGTTTGTTTGGTTGGTTTTGGCTTGATCTCTAATAATTATCAGTGTATATATGTGTGTGTTTATGTCTATATGTGTGTGTATCTTGTAGGTAGTTAAATAGAGACTAGAAAAGGACTACAAGAATTCCTCAAATAAAGTCACAGTTTTAAAAGTTTGAAAGATAAATGTTGAATCTTTCCTTCTTACACTTAAGGTTAAAAAATAAATGTTTTTCTTGGGCTTCTTTCATTATAGATTTACAGTAGATTATCTTGTATTATAACTTTTGCAAAAAGCTATTTCCACATGTAGTTAGTTTTTGGTCCTCACTATCAAGAGAAGGGAGCCTCATTAGAGAGCTGGCACTGTAGTCCAGGCAGAAGAGGCGTGGGCCTATTCTCGGGCTATGACAGAAGAGCTGAAAATGAGACAGAGAGGTCAAAAATATTTTAGAAGTAAAAGTGAACAAACATAATAACCATTTTGATGTAGTTGATGAAGGAGGAATGAAAAAATCAACAGAACTCTCAGGAGAGCTACAGCTATGTGAGAGTGCGATGACATTTCCTTTATCCCACCCCAAGTCTTGCCCTCAAACATTGTTCAATGTGTTTGCCAAATGATTCAGGTACTTATCTGAGGGGCTGAAGAACTAATTTCTCAGGAAGGTAGTATCATTGATTTCCTTCATGATTTTGTACAAGTTGCAAAACCTTTGGGCTTCAGGATTTATTTATTTATTTATTTATTTATTTTTTTTGAGACAGAATCTTGCTCTGTCACCCAGGCTGGAGTGCAGTGGCTCAATCTTGGCTCACTGCAACCTCCACCTCCCGGGTTTAAGCAATTCTCCTGCCTCAGCCTCTGGAGTAGCTGGGATTACAGGCGCACACCACCACGCTCGGCTAATTTTTGTATTTTTAGTAGAGACAGGGTTTCACTGTATTGGCCAGGCTGGTCTTGAGCTCCTGATCTTGTGATCCGCCTGTCTCGGCCTCCCAAAGTGCTGGGATTACAGGCGTGAGCCACCGTGCTCGGCTTGGGCTTCAGGATTTTTTTTGTTTGTTTTTTAATCAAACAAAAAGCTTCTACTAGATGAAAGTATCATACAGTGATAATATTACATGCATTCTATACTTGTTTTCATTCTGGAAGTAAAGTATTAGGCATGAGGATAGAGTATAATTTCCAGGGCCAGAAAATCTGAGTTCATATCCTTTATCTATTCTTCACTACTTACATTGCCAAGACTTGTAATCATTCTGTGCCCACGTTTCCTCATCTGTAAAATGGGGATAACCCTAGCACCTATATTGTAAGGTGTTTACATAAATTAAAGTAAAATTGCTTGTAAAGCACCTCAGACAGTTTCTATACATAGCAACTCCACAATAAATGTAAACTATTAAGATTGCTTCTTCTCCTCACACTCTAAGCAGCCTTTAAATGTGATGCGTATGCTTATTAAACATACCGCAAAAGGGAATCCTGGTCCTTTAACTTTGGAAAATGTTGGGCTAAACAACTTTAAAGGAATTATTTGCTGCAAGTCTCTTTAGAACTTTGGTGCATGCTAATGTGAAGCATAACTCTCCAAAATCATGCCCAAGTTCACTTTCTCACGGAATACTTTTTCCCCTCTCTGAGCATCTGGTGAGTCCTGGTTCAGCAGGCCACTCTCTACAGATACTCCTCTGGGTGATGACCATGGAACAAATTGTCTGAGAGGATGATCCAGTCTCTCTGCACAGAGGGGGAAGATTTGAGCCATAGAAAAGTAGGAGTTAGGAAGCATGAAATCTTTGCTTACATAATATCACAGGTTTTTGAAGCAGTTTATGTAAGTAATTTGTTTCCTTCACAATGACTCTGGAAAGTAGAGAAGTCAGATATTTGAAAAGCTATAGAATATAAATTGTAACTTGCCTATGTCCTGCAGAGAGTAGGAGTAACACCAGAGCTTGAATCTAAGTGTTCAGTCACTATTAATACCATTTCAATACCATTTAGCCCTTTGAACTTGAACAAGTAAACAGAAATAGTTGAGGACTTGTTCAAAGAATTCCTATTGCAGTAAGAGTTTATATTTCAGGGACCATTGATGATATTTGTAACAGCAAAAGTAGCAGTGAGCTTCAGGAACCATTGAGATGATGTTTGTCATAGACCATTATCATCCTCTTCCTCATAAAAATGTAAATATTTAATTCATATACTCAAACTTTAATGAGGTTAAGAAAACCCTGAAGGTTCTTCTCTATAGTTATAATACAAAATATAAAGCAATATAACAGTGTCACTGCATCACTAGGATCCCATCATAAGTTCACAATTCTGATCAAAATGGAAATAGTGTCTTAGGGTCACTATATTTAAGAAATCCTTATAAGCATGTTTTACTCCTACTACGATTCAATGCCTAAATCATAAACCAGGAAAAAAAATATGGTAACAACATTTTATTAAGCTTCTTTTTTCTTTTATAGAAAGTGCAAATTACTGACTTTATATATTAATTTCTCTTAGATATAATATTATATTAATTTGTCTTAGATATAATACATTGGTTAGCAATGTAGCAATATTTTATCTTCTGTGAAATTTAGGCAGAAGATAAAAACCCCAAGAGTGATATAGTAAATCACTGTATTATTTCCTCAAAAGTATATTGCATAGATATAGTTTTTGTTTGTTTGCTTTTAAGAAGGCAGAATTAATTGTGGGCAACACCTTCTCAGCCCTACTACTACTTGGGCAACTAAGGTTTTATAAGACCTGGCCTTCAATGCTCAATTTATATTTCCTTGTGTTTGTACTTGGACATCTAAGTGTCACAGGCTGAATGGAGCCAAATCTTCTCTAACTTCAGTTGCAATTTTCTTTGCAGGTGGTTTTGTAACAGTGGAAAATCTAAATGTGAAAATACACGTCATTTCTCTTTTCTCCCAAGTATGGCTTATGTTAAATGTGTCTTCAGCATTTCCTTTTTGTGATTGTTAATATTCTCTTTCCATTCTTATCTTTCAAGTAAACCTGTGTATTAGTCCATTTTCACACTGCTATAAAGATACTACATGAGACTGGGTAATTTATAAAGAAAAGATGCTTAATTGACTCACAGTTCCACATGGTTGGGAGGGCTCAGGAGACTTGCAATCATGGCAGAAGGTGAAGGGGAAGCAAGGACCTTCTTCACATGGCAGTAGCAGAAGTGCCTGTGAGAGCTCAGGGAAAACTACCATCTATAAAACCATCAGATCTTGTGAGAATTCACTCACTATCACGAGAACAGCATGGGGGAAACCACCTCCATAATTTAACCACTTCCCTGCCTCGACACGTGGGGATTACAATTCAAGATAAGATTCGGGTGGGGACACGAAGCCTAACCATATCAACCTGGTTTTAATTTCTTTGTGCCACACTAAACCATTTTCTCAGAGAAGAGAATGCAGACAGCAAGCAGATTGGAATGTTACCATAGACTCCCACTTTTCCCTACTTGTGACTTCAGTAGGGATATTGTGCTTGGTGCACTTCTTCCTCACTTTGATAGTTTTCTTGGTTATTTATCTCCTGATAAAATGGATTCTCCAGGGAGGAGATGGAGAAGCAATGACACAATAGTGCATTGTTTCTCCATCTATTTTTCCTCAAGCACCCCTAAATATCAAGGCAGAGGGAAGAAATTCTGTCCAGGTCAACTGGGGAATAAGACAAACCCGGAAGTGAAAAGTCTTGAAGCCTCTTATTTCATATGAAAATTTTATGCACATTTTCCATTCTGCTGCATTATATTCTTCATGCTGTATACTTTTAAATAAATAATATTTCTTGCCACATATTGTTCTTTTAGAAATAATAATAACAATAGTGATGTTAATATAACAATAGTGATGGTAACATAACAATAGTGATGGTAATATATTTATGATATGTTATGCACTGTTCCAAGTGCTTCACATATATTAACTCAGAAATATGCATCATATTTATGTTATATCTCCACATAGCTTCAATTTCATAAGTAGTTGATTTTCAGTCAATACTTTGGTTTCAGTCCCAGAGTTGTCATTTATTTCTTATATAATGTTCAGCAAGTCACCCCATTTCCCTGAATCTTGATCCATCTGCTGTAAAATAACATTAACAGTATCTCCAATATATGGTTGGGCTGTAGAATTCATGAGAATAAATATAAAGCATTTCACAAGATGGTTGCCAAATGTAAAGTACTCAATCCTCTTACCCCACCTCCACCCCACTGCACTACACATTTCTTGAAATAGGAACGATTTATTTTAATATTTGAAACTTTAGGATCTGGTATATCACATGCAATCAATATCTATTTATTGAGTGAAAGAATGAATCCTTAAATCAATGAAATGTACAAGCCAGCAAATACATGAATAATTAAATTGATGTCCTATGTATGATATCCAAAAGTTAATGTTGTTGTATAGGAATTGAATTTTATTAGTTCTTCTTGACATAATCTATTAGTAAAATTAATATTATCATCTGATTAATTCTTCTTTTTCTGGACTCTTGTTATCTCCTAAATATTGTCAAAAATGTCTTTTAGAAAATTGCTTATTTATTTTTAAAAGTCCTGTTTTTAAACATTGCAGTTTCTTTCACAGTATTTCTCAAGCAAAATTATACTTAATTCATGGAATACCAATTGTTTTCCTAATTTCTATGATTCCTGGATTGTGTTCATCACCATGACCAAATAACCCCATTTGCTATTGTACTAAATTCACTCTTCAGTGAATCAGTTTTCCCAACCATTGCTCTTTTCTTCCTAAATATTCTTGCTTTCTTTCTGAGATGTATTCAGTAGTTACTCCTTTTTGATGTACCCCCCAATACTCATCTCATTTGACTTCGTCAATTTATTCATTGTCTTTTTCTTTCTGGAGCCTCTGTGTTTCATATCTTCGTTACAGCTCCTAAGAGGTGGCCCTGGAGATGGCCTTGGGCTCTGGCCTTTCTATTTCAGAGTCTGGAAGGAAAGAGGATTGATATCCTGAGGTCTGGCTGACCTCTCCTGCTGTTCCTTCTTCCCCTCCTCCTCTGTAGTTTTATCCATTTAGCAGAACAGCTGTCCCTGCCTAAGGGTCAGCTGGCAAGACCTACAGAAAAAGTTGAGTCATGTGCTCCAGAACTGGATTCTAAATCTCCATAGATCTCTGTCAGCAATACATACCGTGGTTTTCATGGAAGGACATATCAAGCTTCTCTCTTCACACAGAATTAGCCTAAGGCCTAGTTCCTCAACATCTGGCAAGTGGATTTTCAGCCAGAAATTACTGTTTCTGCTTCTCTTCTCTTTTCATCTATTACTGTGCTAATTGAAGACAGTATTATAACTGTCACCCATGAAAACAGGAAAAGAACACGAGGGCAATGAAAACCACACAAAGGGGACTTTTGTCTCTATGCTCTGGTTACTGTGAAGCTAAAAATTCCTTATATTTGCTTCTTAGAATGGAAGTTTAACGGTCTGGTCTAATTTATGTAAGTGCCATGTTAGGGCCTTGATGGCACAACAGGACTTGGATATTAAGAATCATTCTAAAAAATATAGTAAGGCATTAGCTTGTTATTTTTGCCTTTTTATATAAATTGGCTTCTAAAACGCATGTGGCTTATTTACTAAATTTGACTCTGGATTATTTGGGGTTTATTTTCAAAAATATCACAATCCATGTCAAAAATGAAAGCTTGACACATAGGATATAATGAAATGGATGAGTTATAGAATCTGACAATACTATGAAAAATGTTTTAGGCAATTACAGTATCTTTCAAAGAGGGATTATTTTGGCTCACTTTAATAAAGAGGTGATAGGATTTGTTTTTAGTTAGAATGTTTGAAAAAACCTTTGGTTTTCTGCTGAATTGGACAGCACAAATTTCTTGTGCTTGAGGCTTAAACTAGAGAATAACAATGTTTGGGTTTTTATTTTGTCTATTTGTTACAAAAGCATGAAATTCCATTGATGAGAATTGGCTGAGAGATATGCAGTGCAACCATTTATCTAGGTCTGCACAGTTCATTGTGGTAGCTTTTAACCATATGCGACTATGTACATTAATTAAAATAAATTAAAATGCAATCCCTAAGTCACAATAGCCACATTTCAAGTGTTCAATAGAGACATGTGGCTAATGGCTGCCATATTGATATAGAACATTTTCACTATCTGAAAAAAGTTCTATTGGACAGAGCAACTAGATAAATCAAATTTTACTCCAAAGAGGGTATAAACTTGGATCACACTGTTTACACACATGCACATCCTGCAGAAATACTTTTACTAAAATGACCTTCAATGTGACATATTGAATGATGTTATGAATAACACACTTGTAAATTTTGGTAGCATATTTATTTATTTTATTATTTATTTACTTTTTAAATTATACTTTATGTTCTGGGGTACATGTGCAGAACATGCAGGTTTGTTACATAGGTATACATGTGCCATGGTGGATTGCCGCACCCCTCAACCCGTCATCTACATTAGGTATTTCTCCTAATGTTATCCCTCCCCTAGCCCTCCATCCCCCAACGGGCCCCGGTGTGTGATTGTTCCCCTCCCTGTGTGCATGTGTTCTCACTGTTCAACTCCCACTTATGAGTGAGAACATGCGGTGTTTGATTTTCTGTTCTTGTGTTAGTTTGCTGAGAATGATAGTTTCTGGTTTCATCCATGTCCCTGCAAAGGACATGAACTCATCCTTTTTTATGGCTGCATGGTATTCCATGATGTATATGTGCCACATTTTCTTTATCCAGTCTATCATTGATGGGCATTTGGGTTGGTTCCAAGTCTTTGCTATTGTGAACAGTGCCACAATAAACATATGTGTGCATGTGTCTTTATAGTAGAATGATTTATAATCCTTTAGGTATATACCCAGTAATGGGATTGCTGGTTCAAATGATATTTCTAGTTCTAGATCCTTGAGGAATCACCACACTGTCTTCCACAATCGTTGAACTAATTTACACTCCCATCAACAGTGTAAAAGCTTTCCTATTTCTCCACATGCTCTCCAGCATCTGTTGTTTCCTGACTTTTTAATGATTGCTATTCTAACTGGTGTGAGATGGTATCTCATTGTGGTTTTGATTTGCATTTCTCTAATGACCAGTGATGATAAGCATTTTTCATGTTTGTTGGCTGCATAAATGTCTTCTTTTGAGAAGTGTCTGTTCATATCCTTCACCCATATTTATTGTGGAAGCATATTGTGGAAGTCTCATGGAAGAAATTGTTCACTATATCACCCAGTGATTTCCTTACAGCACAAATTCCTCATACCTTAGTACCCCAAACAGCTCTATTTTATGAGAAATATTACTCTTATTACATCTAATGTTTGTTTTTGCTTTGGTTTTGGACTCTCAAATCTAATTTGTAGACTGCTTTTAATACTGGTGTAAGTCAATACTGCATTTCTTTTATTATACTAACCTTTTGTATTTGGCATAATTCCCAATTTCTCCAGGGTTTTAAATTTTCTATATCTTATTTAATTGTGTGTTACATAGAATACCCTACTGATTAAAAGAACAGGTCTAGAAGTAACCGGCCTGAGTTTAATTTCAGTAGCTGCCACGTTTACTAGCTGTGTGGCATTAGGAAAATTATTTAGTGTTTGAATACCACAGTTTCCTGAACTTCAAACTGAGAACTGGTCATGGTTATGATGTAAAGTATATAGCACATTGCCTAGGACATAAGGCTTTTGTAAAATCATCTTAGAAAGAAAGGATACAGGAAAAGTAGAAAAGAGAAAAAGAAATAGATCAGGAAGAGCAATGCAGTATTATGATAAAATATATAGACTATTTGTACCATTTATGAATGGCTTTGTTTCCCTGTTTTATCTCATATTTTCCCAAAATACATGGTGTAAGTTTTGGTGGCTTACAGAAACATACAAAATATAATGAAATGTCAGTAACTGACAATGGATGTTGTCTAAGTTAGAAAAGACAACATTCAGTTAAGTATATAAATTCTAGAATATCCATTTAAAAACAGTCATATAACTTTATTGTTATACTTCATAAGCTGCCTTGAATCATATAAAAACCTGCTCTTGAAGGCCAGATCTTTCTTTGGTAGATTCCTTGATGTTTATTCACAAACGAATCATCTAGATTTTGGGTAAATGTACCTAGTAGCATTCTGAATGCAGGTTTAAAAATGTGTTAATCAGGATTGGTCAATGAAGGTCAATATTGATCAAGATTGTTTTATGGTTTTATGTGGATAGATGCTCTTTTTTACTAAGAGGTCATATTGGAATGCCCTTTGATTTCTTCCTATGCAGTGATGAAAAATCATAACAAATACTTTATTTCCATATTCAGTTCTCTCTTTCTCTGTATACACACAGACACACACGACAAAAGATCCTAGAGGAGAAAAGGAAGGAAAGGCAGAATACTTCATACCCTCAAGATCAGTGATCATTAAAAGTCACTGAAGGCTGCCTGCATTAACAAAGCCAACTGGAGAATGGCTACTAAATGGCTAGCTGAAGACTTCATGGACATTAATTATTTTTGTTGGAGGTAAAAGATTGGGCTTCATTTGAAAAGCTGCCAGATATTCCTTTTGTTCCATGATTGGTGGCGCATAGCACTTCAGTTCAATAACTCAGCCATGCCACCATCTGCCCAGCACTCTCATTCTGTTGGTTGGCATGTCATTTATTTGCTTTTAACATGCAACCCATATAAAAATCCCTCATAATCTGCCAAAATTAGAAATGCAGCTGTTTTAAGTCTTAAACAGCAATAGCACTATTCATTATGCCAGTATGGAGGAATAAAATAGAAAAATGTATTTGGAAAGAGCAATGCTACACCAGAATGTATTTGTACCTTCACTTTTTTAACATTCAAGACATCTATAGTCTGCTACCAGTGCTGACTTCAGGCTTAAAGTTGACACATAAATATACCAGATAGCTTCTTTAGTACATACATTTTAATACAAGAATTGGGATTTGAATCAGCTCTGAATTATTTTTCATGTTATAAAGCAATTTCAGCCTTTCAGTTTCTAGAAAATGAAAAATTTCTGGCTAACCCTGGGTCTCATCTTATTCTATTTTTATTTTCCTCAGAAGTTTCTTGAGGTTCTGATCATTATAACTTGTTAATCCAGAGAAAAACTGATCATGTAGAGCTGTGTGGAGAATTCTCAATGAGGCAAGCAGTTAGTTAGTCCCCTATTTAGGGGAAAAAATGATGAAGAGAGAAAAAAAAGAATTTTCTCCCACATACTAATCTTGTGGTGCTGAAAAATGAAATCCAAAAACTACCTTTTGTTTCACTGTGCTCTCTGCAATCACATTATTTGGGAGTGATGGGTGTTAGGAAACAATAAAGATCTGGTATTACTTTCCAAAGACACCTTTCTTCACAGTGAGTAGACATACTTGTTCTGAAACGAAAGTTGGATAGTTTGCAATTGCTTTGCTTAATCCTATTCAATATTCCTATAAGTTTAAATGTCTAAGTTGAATTCATTTGTCTATTTGTTAATGGTGATCCCACATGAGATCTTCCATCATGTGAATTTCACAGACTTAAAAACATAATTTATATTTGTGAGAACTGACCAGTAAACAATTATTTGCTTTCTGTGAAGTCAGGGCATGAAAAGTAATAAAAGTAATGGTTGAGCATGACACAAACTTACTAAAATAGATTTACTTGATAGGCCTTTATTTACTGTACGTCTCCATCAAGATTAACAGTACTAAAGAACAAGGACTGTAAGCTGTGGTTCTTAAAAGATCCATATGACAGTTAGGTCAGTACCAGATATAAGGTAGTCATTCTGAAAAGACTTGTTCATGATTGATACGTTTTGCTTGGCGATTTAAGATTTCATAATTGGATCTCAATTTTTAAAAATTTAAATTTGGTTTTAAGCAGTTAATATATTTGGAAAATCCCAAAGTTAAAATTATGTGAATCTCCCCGTTTCATATTACATGTAGTGGTTTCTAACCACCAATGAAGGAAAAGAAACCCCACAACATTATTCCACTGTCTTATTTACTTCTGTATTTGCATTGTATATTGTGTTGGATCTAGTTTATAGCTGTGTGATTGTCAATTGCTGTCTTAACTACCAAATAATGCAGTGTAGTTTAAGTCCATGTATTCTTAGGTTTCTAAAGTTAAAATATTATTCCCTTCCTTTACACTAATTAGCATAGTCCTGGCCTCTCTTACTCTTTAGAATACATTGGACTTTCTAACATGTTATAACATTGTTATAAAATTTTAATGAAAAATATTTAATTATATAGCCTCAATATACCACCTTTTCCACCTAGGACAAATGTGTAATGTTTATCTGTTGAGTCAAATAGATTCATCTATTTTGTCCTTCAAGGTCAACAGCAGTCTTGGGCTTATCTCATGTATAAATCTCTACTCTGGTTGGTTCTTTGCTTTTAAAAACTTTTAGTGCTGAGCAGAGGTCTTGGTTTGCCATCTCTAATGACTGAAATCTATTCTTGGTCTCCTGGAGTACTTAACATGCAGAACGAGGGAGACAAGCACAAATGCATCTTTCTAGTTTTGAAATCAGATTGTCTTTCATAGATGATAAAACCCTAGCAAGGGTTTCAGTAATCAACCTAATATATATTTTTTTAACAAACTTGTATTTTGGAATAATTTTAGATTTACAGAAAAGTAGCAAAATATACACAGTTTGTCTCACCCAGATTTATTTTCCCCTAATATTATCATCTTACATTGTCATGGTACATTTGTCAAAACTAAGAAATTAACATTGGTATATGATTTGAACTTACCAATCTTTTTCATTAATGTCCTGTTTCTGCTCGGGACTCAATCTCTAGCACATTACATTTTGTTGTTATATTTTCAAAGTCTCCTCTGCTCTGTTGGGGGTCTGGTCTGTGACGGTTTCTCAGACTTTCCTCGTTTTTCATGGACTTAACCATCTTGAGTAATACAGGCCAGGTATCCTGTAGAATGGTCACCAATCTGGGTTTATTGGACGTCTTTCTCATAATTAAACTAGGGTTACAGATTCTGGGGAAGAATACCATAGAAGTGAAGTAGCTTTCTTATCACGTCACATAGGGGTACATGATATCCACATGACATCACTGATAATGTTAACCTTTATCACTTGGTTAAAGTCGTGTTTGTCAGGTTTCTCCACTGTACAGTTTCTATTTTCTTCCTTTGCCCAACTCTGTCACTAAATCTGTCTCACCCTCAATGCAGGGAAGAAAAGCTCCACCCTCTGGAGAGTGGAGTGTCTGCATATATTAAATGGAATTCTTCCATCAGGAAGATTTGTCTCTTCTCCATTTACTTATTCAAAACCCAATTTTAGGTCTTTATTATTTTTTACTACATTTGATAACATGAATTCTAGTGCTTCTTGCCATAGTTCTGTTTTTTAATTCAACTTTCCTTCTTAAACATATAAAAAGAATAAACACACACTGTGTGAAGAAGTAATTGAACACTAGTGAATATCAGTATAACCAACTGGGATTGCTAATTTTGTGTCAACTTGACTGGGCCATGGAGTTTGGTTAAAGGTTATTCCCGGTGTGTCTGTGAGGGTGTTTCTGAATGAGATTAATATTTATATTGGTTGAATGAGATTAATATTTATATTGGTAGATGGAATAAAGTAGATTGCCCTCCTTGATGTGTGTGGGCATCATCCCATAAATTGAAGGCCTGAATAGAATAAAAAGAATGACTAGGGAAATTTTGCTCTCTCTCCCTGTTTCCAAGCTGTTGCATCAGCCTTCTCCTGCTTTAGAACTCAGAGTTGGACTGGAGCTATACCATTGGCTCTCCTGGGTCACCAGCTTACCAACTGCAGATCTTGGGGTTTCTCAGCCTCTATGATTATTTGAGCCAATTTCTTGTAATAAATCTTTTTATGTATCTGCATCTGTATCTATCTATTTCTCTTATTGGTTCTCTTTCTCTGGAGAATCCTAATATAACAACCGTCCCCCTGAACAATGAGAGCAATGCTATAATCCTGAAAAACCTTTGTGTGCCCCTTCCCTGACTCTGTGCCTTCTCGCTGTCTTGAAATTTGTGTTAATCATCTCCTCGGATTTATTTTTTATATGGTGGGATTTAAAAGCTTATAAATTGGAATTCTGGTATGATTAAGTAGGTATGGTTCTTAATGCAACAAAAACTGTAAAATAATTCTTCTATATTTTTCTATTTTTCCCTTTTACTTAAGGAAATAAATTGTATGTCTTTTAAAATTCTTTACTAGTAACAATAATGAAACATACTCTGTTTACTGAGTAAGCTAACTTTATGGGACAACTTTATTCCATAACTAATCTGCTTCTGAAACAGGTGCTAATCAATAGATATAGGAAGCTCTTCTCTTTAGATCTGAATTTGCCATCAACAAAGGGAATTTGCTTAATAACAATTTCCAAGCATGCAGTACATATTGAAGAAACTTGGCACATTAATGCTATAGTAAAAGTTAATAAAGTACACCAAAATATATCTTATAATAAATATAAAAAATTTTGCTATCTTGGGAGTGGTTGTAGCTTTATTTTTATTTAAAGACCTAAAGTTTTGTTTGTTTGTTTTTGAGACAGGGACTTGCTCTGTCACCCAGGTTGGAGTGCAGTGGTGTGAACATTGCTCACTGTAGCCTCTACCTCCTGGTCTCAAGTGATCCTGCCACCTCAGCACCCTCCCCACTTCCGTAGCTGGGACTACTGGCATGCGAGCCACCATGCCCGGCTAATTTTTGTATTTTTTGTAGAGAGGAGGTTTTGCCATGTTGCCCAGACTGGTCTCGAACTCCTGAGCTGAAAGGATCCACCTGCTTCCAAAGTGCAGGGATTACAGGCGTGAGCCAGTGCGCCCAGCCTAAAGATTTTTTTTCTTAAATAAATATTCTAACTTGTGAGGATGCTTGATCCCTTTACCTCACTGAGACTAATTAGTAAGAACGAAATATCTAGACAAACCTTTTATTTAACGTCATGGCCACCAATACATTTTGAAATTAATTTTTCAAAAAATTCAGATGCTTATGCACTTAATACCTATTCAGTCACTAAAATGAAGACTTGTAGATTCAAATTCTAATAATAGTTTCAATTGTCTGTTTCATTATTGGCTCCTCTGAAGATATGTAAAATTATCCTAATGCCACTTTTTAATGTCATCCTTTAAATAGTCAATGCCCTAAAGTCTTATCATTTCTAGGCTGTGCTTTCTTAGTTCCTTCAACTCCCCATTGCCTCATTTGGGGACTTGATTTGGACATCTTGTTAAATTGTCCTTCCTAATGTCATCTTATCTGCTTGATGGGGACATCATTATGTGTTAATTCCTTAGGTAGGAATGATAAACACACTAGAATGACTAACAGCATTTATTAAGCAGCATTTGTGTTTTAGATAAAAGGTGAGCCTCCAAATGTAAGGTTGACAAAATTACCTTTGATGGTCAAGGAGCTGCTGTTAGAAGAGATGGGCAGTTAATGAAGATTGATATGTCATTAGCCAGATATTTTTGAGAGGTCTTGGAAGGGTCAGTAATCTATTAGCCTGAAAGATGTATCCCAGGGGCCATCTTATGATGATGAATAAAGAATGAGTCCAGGATGGAACATCAACATTCATGAAGCCGACAGACACAATCTAGAGTCAGGAGTCAGTGAAAAGTTACTAATATCATGAAGTAATCCAGTAGTGAGTTTCATATACAAACAGGGAGTTGAGCTCCAGAAACACAAAAAGTGCCTGAATTGGAGGTTCTGCCCTAGTTTGGAGGTGGAAATGGTTAGCAGTTCTTTGGTTGCATCAGGGAAGAAACTGATAGGAGAGGTGAGTGATACTGGACTTACAGATATATATCATAAATTATCTATTTGGCTATTATTTATGTTTCTTCCCCACTCGAATATAATTTCCACAAAGGCAGGTACATTATCTTTCTACTTTATTGCTATATGCTATATTCTCAGTGCCTACAGCAGAGCCTGACAATAAGCACAATACATATAAATTAAATGGACAATTGAAGGAATCTAATGTATCCCAAACTTCTGTTGATATTACCTTCTATTAAATAACTACATCCCTTACTATCTGCTAGTTCAAGTACCATATTCTCCCACCTTTCTCACTGGAATAGTTTCCTTGTTGGTTTCCTTGCCTCCAGTTTTGTTCCCTCTCATTTCATTCTTTTCTATTGTGTAATCCTAGTAACTTCTAAAGCCTGGATTGGATAACAATATTTCTCTATATAAAACCCTTCAATAGCATAAGGCTAAATCCTCCTACATTATTTATGAAATTGTTTGTGATTTGACTTCTACTTAATTCTTCAGCAATATGGCTTCCTGTTCTACTCCCTACTCTACCCGATTCTAGTATATGGGCATATGGAACTGCTCCCATTTTTTTTAATACATTAGAAGAAATGCCTTGCCTTGCTTCCAGTTCCCTTTTACACCTGCTAGTCCTTCAACCTGTACTATTTGTATGCATTTTCATCCTCATTTGATTTGCCTGGCTAATTTCAATTCATCTTTCATGACTCAGCACATATATCCTTCCCTAAGAATCTCACCTGAAATACCACATTTGGGTGAGGCAACTTTTTCTACCAGGTGTTCCCTTCAGTAACATATCTCACTTTGTTTATAATTACACTTTTGCTGGTTTTAAAGTAGAAGATACTCTGTGAAAGAAGGGACCATGATTACCTAATTTGTAAGTGTAACAATAATATCATAGGATTTTTGGTAAAGATTATATGAGATACTAAAGCCACTTACATGTTTTAACATTTTTTCTTCTTGTTGTTATTATTATCCCTGGTGCCTTGTGCAACATCTGGCAATGAGTGTTGCTAAATAATTATTTTTGAATATATTAAACTTTCACGCTGATTGTTGTCATGGGCACTTAAGTCAGATTTGAATTTAAATTTGATATGGATGATAATCAGTTTAGAACATTATCATTATTACTTGTCACTGCAAAGACAACATTGTTTTAATGGATGTTAGTGTGGGTTTTTAAAACTCATAATTTTAACAGCATCTAACAAGATTTCCTGGAAAACACTCATCAGTGAACAAGAATAACGCATATGGATTGAATTTCCATTGAAATTCAAAGACTTAAAAAGAAATGGGGAAACCAATTTTATAAAATGGGCAAAGAATTTGAATAGACATTTATCCAAAGAAGATACACATATGACCAGTAAGCACATGAAAAGGTGCTCAGCATCATTCGTCATTAGGAAAATGCAAGTCAAAACTACAGTGAGATACTATTTAACATCCAGTAGGATGGCTATAATCAAGTAGACAGACAGTAACAATTTTGACAAGGATGTGGAAAGATTGGAACCCTCATAAATTGTTGATGGAATGTAAAATGGTGCAGCTGCTTTGGAAAACAGTTTGGCAGTTCCTCAAGAAGTTCCCAGCAATTCTACTTCTTGGTTTATACCCCAAAGAATTGAAAACATATGTTCATACAAAAGTTTATACACAAATATTCATAGTAGCATTATTAATTATAGCCAAAAGTAGAAAAAACAGATGTTCATCAACTAAGGGGTGGTTAAAGAAAATGTGGTATACCCATTCAGTAGAATATTATTTAGCTATAAAAATGAAGTAAAGATACTTGTTACATCATGGATGAACCTGCAAAACATTATGACAAAATGAAGAAGCCAGTCAGTTTATATGTTATATGGCATTTATATGAAATGTCTGGAATCAGTACAACCATACAAACAGAAAGTAGATTAGTGGTTGCCATAGGCTTGAGGGAGGGAAGAATGTGTCGTGACTACTAATAGTGACAGGGTTTCATTTTGCAGTGATGAAATATTTTGGAATCAGATAGCAGCGATGGTTCAGGAACCTTATGAATATTTTTAAAACCACTGAGCTATATACTTTAAATGGGTTAATTGTATAGGATGTGAATTATATCTCAATAAAGACAAAAAAAAAAACAGAATCTGGCTTTTCTGTTCATCGAGAGGATAAAGGTTTGATAAAAGGAGGGTTAGGTTGGTGCAAAAGTAATTGCAGTTTTTGCCTTTACTTTCAATTAATCTCTGAAATGAAAGCAGTGGCAAAAACCGCAATTACTTTTGCAGCAACCTAGTATGTTAAAATAACATGGAGGTCATTCATAATTTTAATTGCTTAAGTTCTGTGGAATATAAGGATAAAAATGTCAAGAAGCTCAAATACATTTATTTCTTGGGAATAAGTTATTTCAGGGATAAATTTCAGGGATAAAATAAGGATAGTGGTTATTCAGATCATCGTCTTTAGAGGATAACATATCGACGTGAGTAATTCAAAGGATTTGGCTATAGTACCTTGCAGTCCTGAAGTACAGTTATGCTTTGCTTCTGTGAAGCAGAGATTTTCCACTCTTGTCAGGGCAGAGCAATCTAAAGTGGCATTTTATGCAGTGGTAATTTTGATGGAATAACACTACATCTTTAGCCTTGATAGGACAAATATCACATGGACCGAATTGTGTGTGAGTCTATTTGTGTGTGTATGTCTGTGTGTGTAAAAGAGATATACCAAATCCTTCTAGATACATGCGTCTGTTCTTTCAACTTATTTAAACTTTTTAATTATGCCATCTACACAAAAAAATGAGAAAAAAATAACTCATTTAAAATACCTGAGTAAATGTGCATAAGTATGAAGTCATTGAACATATAGAATGGAAGTTTGGGGTCTCAAACAAAACAAAACAAAGAAAACCAGTTACTGTTGAGGGGATACACAGGCTCCCACGTGAATGCTCTTGAGATTTGTATTGAAACAACATTGAAATTGGGGCAGGGGGTGGGTGGAATTATTGTGCAGTGGTAAGGGCTTTGGAGTCAGATGCACTTTGGTCTGATTCTCTGCCCTCTTTGAAGGCTTTTTGAAGGATTCCTTAGAGTGTAGTTCTCCAATCAGAAAATAAATTTCTTGTCATTCAAAGTAGGATAGTAATGTGTTGTAAATTAGTGTTTTACTTTGGCAAGAATGATAAAGAGATTAGTCGGACTCGATACCAAATGCTGTTATCCACATAGCCAGGTATAAAGGATGAGTGGCTACTAGTACAAAGATGAGAGACCATTCCATAGGAATTGAGTAGCCCTTATTTTATATTTTTCTCATGGTGGGTCCTTTCTATGGTTATGCCATAATTACATGTTTTATTTCTGAGTCATGGGTCTTCTTTTATAAACAGGCCTTTCCCCTGGGTCTCTGTCAGCTATGGCAAGGAGCATGACTGTCTCTTCACTAGATACCCTTTCTCAGCCTCAGCGCCTCACAGTCCAAAAACTCTTTGTCGAATGGTTTTGTCCCGTGTTGTATTGTTTACATTTCTTGTGGAAATATTCAGTATTACCTATCATAAGGATATTCAAATATAAGATCTGTGTTTTCCTAAATGTTTTGATTCTCAGAATCCAGCACCCAGTGAAAGCACTGGCTTGCCCACTCTGATGTTTTTACTTCAGAATACAAACAACTCTGTATGTGTTTTGGGGTTTGTGAGAGGCCATGTGAAAGGCCATGGCCACAAGTATTCAAATCTTGATTCATAGGAAAGAGTTTGAGAGTATCCCTTGAGCCTGGACCTTTGTTCTGAAGCATCCCTAGAGATGTTTATTCCCTCTGTATTGTTTATGTTTGCATGACTGATTAGTTGTCACCCCAAAGATATATTCATTAACATATATTTATTTGTGTACATAGACTCTAACATGAGGTGGGAAAAAAAGATATACACGTAAATCTTATCATCTTCCTTTATACCTACATCTTCCTTTTCTACTCTCCAGTATATCCTTCTAAATTCTTATTTTCTGATTGTGAGATAGTAATCATCAAAACCCTTCTAAATTTGTTATTTCTTTCCCAAAGAAGAATAAAGTTATGTTCAATGTCTCATTTTCTGACATAACACATAACATCTAATACTACAATCATTTGAGTTAAGAGCAATAGAAACTGTCCCAAAACCCAGTGGAGTATAACGATTCACAGGTAGCACCAGACACAGTCTGCCTACCAAACAGCAGCCCTCAAATTTAGCTGTCATACCCTGTGCAGCGCAGGGCTTAGTACAATTGAAGTGGATTCCTTGAAGGCTGAAAGGGGAGAAAGTAAAAAGGAGACATTAACTTTATTCCAAAGTCTAGTAGGCATAGTTAGAGATGTTACCACTGTTTTTGCATGGAAGGTGATAGGAGATGCTGGGATTTAAATAGGAAAGCTTCTTGAGTTGAGGATTGGTAAATATTGATGAGGTAACTGAGAGGAAGGCATAGACAAAGAATGGTCAAAAACCTATGGGGAAAAAAAATCACAGATTTGACCACGTGGCAAAGAAAATCTTAATAAATTCCTCAAAGTAGAAACCTCCCAGGCTATGTTCCTCAACATTAGTGCAGTAAAATAAAATAAAAATAGAAAGGACAAACAAAATTTATTAACTTGGAAATTTTAAAATATCATTCTAAAACTTCAGGTTAAAAAGAACAAACAAATCATGAAATTACAGCTAATTTGAAATGAATGATGAGAGCATTATTCATTATGCACTTTTAGGATATTGCTAAAATGGTCTCAGGAAGAAAATCAATACCCTTAAATGCATTTATTAGTGTACAAAAATATTTAGAAGTAATGAATTAATTACTTCGCTAAAGGACATTTAAGAGAACAATAAAATAAGGGAATTACAAAATATTAAAGATAATACTATGCATAACTTTTTATCAATACCTTTGAAAATCTAAATGAAGTCTGTTCTAGAAGTGAAGGGTAGTACAGTTTCCATAAATGTATTATTGCAAAATTCTTACATTAATAGATTAAAAAAGAAAACAATATGATCATTTCAATAGGTATTGGAAAATTTTGCATCTATTTCTGAGATAAATGTGTAGCAAGTTAGGAATAAAGATAAACTTTCTTAACCTGTATCAAGTACCTCATATAACAGGGAAGTGAGAAAGAATTATTTTCATAAAAGTCTGAAATAAAGTAGAATGGTCTAATATCATATTACTAAATATTATACAGGAGGTCTTAGCTAACGACATAAGAAAAAGAAATTGTATATAAGCATTAGAAAGGAGAAAACCAATAACTGTTTTCTACACAGTTTGACAGTTAAACCTAAGAAATTAAACTTAAAAGCTCTTACACGCAATTAGAGGGGTTGATAATAAACCATAAATCATCAGAGAAATCCATAAAATACTTAGGATTAAACCTTAGAAACATCCATACTTCTAGAGGAAAACTGTGATACATTCTTGGATTACAATGCAAGAAGAGCAAAGGAGACGATTCCATATTTCTAGATAGAGAGGTTCAATAACATAAACATTTTAGTTCTTCCCAGATTAATCATTAATTTATTACAATCCTAATAAATTTCAAAGGAATTTATTTCATTTGATAAACTGATCTGAAAGGGGAAATGTGAAAGAATATCTTCGGTATCCCAATTTTGGGCTCTTGTGATTCTGAGATGTTAAGAGGATTTAAGTCTGAGACCAGAAATATAGAATATCAGCCTCAGATCATATTATGCTAGGTAGCAAATAAATTATCAAAAACTGAGTATCATCAAAAAGATATAGTTACCAACATGAAGGATCACCGACTGAGCAAATGTGGAACAATTTAAGCATCAAAAAGACTAAAAAGTTCAATTGCTGGAAGCATACTGAATATATAAAAATCTGTGAGCTCATGATATGTAAGAGTTAAAAAAGAAAAGAAAAAGTATTGACTACCACTGGAAATAATTAGGGTACCAACTAATTATTCAAAAAAATAACAAGTAAAAGTAAGGAATTCAGAATTTATGTAGCCTTTCATGTATGAACTGAATTGCAAATAACCAAATAGCACTAATTTATGAGGAAAAGATATTCGTTGTGAAAAAATTTCAGCTAGTAATGTGGAATGAATGGGAGAAAGAGAAAGTCATGCTTTTGCAGCCTTTAATAAAATCATTGATCTAGGCAGTGTTCATCAATGGATAAATCATTACGGCATTGCTTCTCAAGTGTACTGTGCATCAGACTCTCCTGGAGGACTTGTGAAAACGTAGATTTTTGGGCCTCACTCCTATAGGTTCTGATTCAATATGTTTGGGGTGTGGCCAAGAACATACATTTCTAACAAATTTCCAGGTGATGCTGATGCTGCTAGTCTGAGAATCATACTTCAAGAGCCTCAGTTTTAGATAAAACTTTGGTAAGGAAGTTCAAAATGAAAAGATCAGATATAACCACCTGAATCTACTTATCAATCAGTACTAAAGTAGACATTGTGGGCCTCAAGATGTTATGCAAAATGAAGTACACAGTTCTGAACTCTATTAAGTAGGATTCCCAGAGTTCCCACACACAACAGGGTGTGTGTGTGTGTGTGTGCGCGCGCGCGCGCATGCGCACGCGTACACACAAATGCCTTGGGAGGAAGGGGAGGGAGACAGCGAGAGAGCGAGGGGAATTGGTACATGTGATTGTGGAGGCTGACAAGTCCAAAATCTGTAGGATAGGGTAGCAGAGACCCAGGGAAGAATTGATCTTGCAGCTGGAGTCCCAAGTCTGCTGACAGAATTCCCTCTTCTTCAGGGGAGGTCAGTCTTTTTTCTGTTAATGCCTTCAACTGATTGGACGAGGTCCTCCCATATTATGGAGGGTAAACTGCTTTACTCAAAGTCTACCGGAATCTCATCAAGAAATACCTTCACAGAAATATCTAGAATAATGTTTGACCAGATATCTGGAGCATAATCTAGCCAAGAAGGCACATAAGATTAACCGTCACACAAACATAAAGCATTCTTGCCCAAAAAGTTGAACCTGAATTTAATTAGTCCTCCAGAGGTAACTTTCTTTTACATGAAATACAGAAAAAATAGGAAGAAGTTAAATGAAAAAACAAGGAGCAGAAGTGATTAGGCTTCTTCTACGTGTCAGCAGCATTTTAAAAATGAAGAAAAAGGAGGTGGACTTCTCTAGATCAAAAGAGATTTAAGAGACATAATAACCAAATGTGATATATTGAATTCATTCAGCTCTTATTCAAACAAATCAATTATAAAAACAAGTTTTAAAACTATTGGGGGACATTTGTTTATGGAGTAGAAATTAGGTGATATTGATAATTGAAATTGTTAGTTTCAATTAATATGATTATTGCATTTTTAATTATGTATGCGAATGTCTGGTTTTTTTAAAGAAATGTACCCTAAAATTTGTAGGGGTATAATGACAAAATATCTGGAATTTGCTTTAAAATACTTCAGCAAGGGAAAAAAAAAAAGAAGGGATAAGCTAAGCAAATATAGGAAAATCTTGATAATTTTTGAACCTAGTGTGGGAAATGGGAGCTTACTATACCTTTCTTTCTTTTGGTTTTAAAATCTTTTAAATAAAACTTTAAAATACCAAAAAGAATACATTCCAAAAGAAGAATGATAAAGGAGCACTTACTCTTCCAGATATCAAAATGTACTACACAGCTAATAATTAAAACAATGTGGTTTTGCCTTAAAGACAGATCTGTAGCCTCCAGAAAGAGATATATTTGTGTATAAAAATGCAGTGTCACTTTGAATCAGTAAAACAAAGAATGTGTTATACCATAGGTGGGGTTGGAACAATTGGATATCTATTTAGAAAATAAATTCTAAGCAGTTAAGAACTAAGAAACAAAGTCAAAACTCTAAAATATTAAGGGAAATCATTGCCCTATTCAAACCTACTCAAATATTTAAACTCCTAAACAATTAAAAATACCTTAAATATAAAGCTTTAGCATAAGAATTGGAGAAAACTTTGCCATAAAAGGCAAAGGATTAACAATTAAGATACACATGGAGCCTCATTCAGAAATAAAAACAAGTAAATTAATCAAAGGAAAAATTTGCAAAGGTCTGGACAGTTTACAGAAGAACTAAAAATATGTGAATACAAATGGAAGATGAATACGCAATTGAAAAAAAATGGCCAACCTCATCTGTAATCTACAAAGTGCAAATTAATCTTTCACCTAGCAGACAGTCAAAAATTAAAAGCCCAGTATTGGATACAGTACTGATGAGGGTACAGGGAAATATGCAGCCTCACAAACTGTTGGTTGGAAGGTAAATTGGTAAAGCTCTTTTGTTAGGCAACTTGATAGTACTTTTCAAAAATTGTAAAACAAAAAGTCATTGACCAAGCAATTCATTTTTACTCTTTAGAAATACTTTCACATGTAGAAATACTTCTTATAAGGATATTAGCAACAAATTAGAAATCCGCTATGGTAAGTACCCATTGGTAACCAAATTTTGATATGTCATTGCCATTAAATACTATATAATAGAAGGAAGGCTGAAGGAAATCTGTAGTGATTGACATGGCAATATTCATGGCATTAAGTGTAAAAAAGTAAGCAGACTGTATTCGGTGGATCGCACCTTGTCAAAGGCTATACTTAACCACGCGAATCTGTTTTTGCACTTTAGCATCTAACAGGAAAAGGCATTCTTTACTTCATCCCCAACACAGTTTCTTTTACTTCATGAGGTTAGTGCAGGCTGAACATTGTGATGTAATTTTAAATAGGATCCTGGATGCTATTGATTTTTGCCCTTAATTTTAGGGAAAAGAGACCACGATTAAGTCAGTTGTCAAGACTCACAAACCAGCAAGCAGCTCTGTCACACATTGCATGGAGCTGTGTCCAGGAGGCACTTACATTATCAAATGGCTTTAAATGCAAGCAGATGAAGGTGTAGGATGACGTTCTATAGAGGAAGGAAGGCCAGCCCTTTCCCAATTTCGAGAGTTTTAGAGTTTCATTATTAGAGAGCTAAAAAGGAATTGGAAAAGTTAGGTTTTTATGTACTATTTAAACTTATATGACAAACTGGAAAGCAGAAATTAAGTTAGAAGGCCAATCTGTATCTACCGTCTAGGATTTTTCCTTAAGAAGTCATTTTTAATATATCTTTTCTCTCTTGTCAAGCTTGATAAAGCTTGCTTTGTGAAATTTCAAAACTGTAAAAAAGAAAAAGCTTTCCTTATAAATAATACTGTTATACTTGTTACTTTGCTCTCTTCATTAAAAAATGACATCCTGAAGAACCATCCATAGTTTGCTTAATTTTAGTAATTTAAAAAGTTGTATATCATATGTGATTATCCAGATAATAGTGATTATAAACATTTGTTTATGTTTCAAATGTCATTTTTCAGTTTTTCCAAAACTTAATTTCAAATACCCAACTCTTTGAAATGGGGAGACAACAGGTTAGTGCTGTAAATATCTATGCATTGACAGATTCCATGTGAATACTGATAACAGTGTTTGGGAAAATTTGAAAGATAAGATGTAATCAGAAAAACACACTTCAGTAAAGTTTATTTGAACATCTCTTGTTTTCTTGTGAATTTTGACCTCAAGTTACTTTAGAAATGCATAGTGCATCTTCAGATACTGCTCTACAAGTTTGAATAGCATTTATTCTCAGGTGCTCTGTCTTCTCTGGCATATAAAATTACAGGGTTCTTATATAATATCAAAAAAGCAGAAAGTCGTGGGAGTTATACAATTTCATTATGTCAAACAGGAATACATTAAAGCTTACTGTTTGTTAAAGTTAAAAATACATTTGCTGAAATTGCTGGAGAAATTCAAGCACAATCATGTCAAAAAAAAAATGAAAAGGAACTAAAGTGTGATCTTCTAAAATTTTCTTAGTCCAATTCATGAAACGACATTTTATATTACAACATTATTGCCTTTCCCAAAAAGTGATTTTGCACATAGATTTTAATAAAATAGATGTTTGCAATGGGTTAACATACTGCTAAGCAGTGACTGTCCTGAAACTACTTTGTGGAATTTAAAATGTTAGTAAAAGCAAATCTGCATACATGATGCATACCACACTGATTTTAGAAAATGGTAATTCGGATGAAATTTTAGCTTTTAATTAAATGTTTAATCTTGTGTACATGTATTCATTTATGCTATAGAAACGTTAGGAGTTGTGCTAATGCTGTTATTTGCTCTCTGAGTATAAGAGGTCATCTGCCTTGGAACATGGTATAAGAAGAATAGTTTTCAAAAGATAAAACTGTATATATTAGTTCATGACACCATGAATTTAAATTACATTGTCAGAGTAGGAATGGATTTAAATATAGGTACATTTTTGTTGTTGGTGGTGGTGGTGTTTGTTTGTTTGTTTTTTTTTTACTATGTTTTGACATGTGGTTACAAACTGTCGGTGCATGGGCCAGATAGGACCTGTAGATGTGATATCTTGGGCCCAACCAGCTTCTTTTTCTAGAAAATCAGGGAAGACATGAAAAAATTATAGAGATTTCACATAAAAAACTGGACTCCAGGGTTTTCTTGAAAATCCAAAGGAAAATGGCGCTCAAGCACGGCATCCCATGGTTGTCACTATGTGAAGTAGGTGGCCTCTCTTCTGATGGTTCTTGAATTCCTCTGTTCAATACAGTCACCTCCACTGCAGGGTCTTCCTTCCATGGAAGCTGAGTATAAGTTACCACTCATTTTCATAATTACAAATTATATCTCTCACTATCTAGACATATTTAGCAGAAACTGAATGTCTAGGAAATGAGAAAACAAAAAAAATTGAGATGACTGAATATTTCAAGCAGAATTGTTGAAGTAATAGAAAGTGATTTACTTCATTTATTTTGGTTTATTTCCTGCCAAGTTTTAGAGACATTTTAAAAATATTTTATTGGGATATAATTCATATACCATAAAATTCACTCATATAAAATTTACAAATCAGTGGTTTTTAATGTATTTCACAAAGTTATGCAGTCATCACTATCTAACTTTAGAAATTTCCATCATCGCAAAAAGGAACCCATAATGATTAGCAGCCTTTATAGGCATTTTAAAGTATGAACCTAGTAGAAAATGTGAAACATAGGAATCAGCTCTAGTCTGTAATCCAAATGATATTTCAAATTTGGGAAACTTGATTTTCGTATCTTATAAACAACTGTCCTTTTCTAGCTTTGCATATCCTTTATGTTTTATACTAAATAGCATTTTATCTCTTCAACTAAGATACTGATTTGAAAAATAAAAAATAAAAACTTAGTACATATGCACATATATAGGCCTGACTCTATTACTAGATAATTTCATGGAGATAGACATAAATCAGTTCATCAGCAATTCATATGTGTAATGTTCAGCTCATGCTGTGTTTTGTTTTTTAACTTACTAGACTATCCCGAGTCACTCTAACATGCGATTTGCTGAAAATGCAATGCTTTATATGCTAGTTATTGCTTTATCTTTCAGAAATTGCAAAAGAAGACTAATGTAAGACTCACTCACTCCTAAGAAAAAGTGATTTTATCTGGCTCAAATGGATCAGCTAATTAGTATTTTTTCGCCTAAATGCTCTCAACCTCTGATATTCCAAAAATTTCCATTTTACATTTATTGTAAAATGCTATCAACCTCTGACATTCCAGATATTTCCATTTTACATTTATTGATCTATCATTTTCTCTCGTTCTTTCTCCTTTTTAAAATCTGCAATAGCACTTTCCAGTTTGCCTTGGCTGGCACTCTTCCTCTTTTCTGATATTTCCCTAGAGATGAACTCAAAACTCTTTCCAGTTTAAAAATGTCTCTCCTTAGCTCCAGACTCTCATATCCAGCTTCCTCTAACTCAACATCTCCACTTGGAATGTCTAGGAAGCTTTGCAAAGGCAAAATACCCAAAACCAAACTGCTCATAGTTTCTTCCAGACCTGCAGCTCTTAGGCTCTTCCCATCTCAGCAAATGGCCCATTCATGCTTTCTGTTGCTCGATCTACAGCTTTGGAGTCATCTTTGCTTTCTCTTTTTCATACTCTACCTCTGCTCCGTTATCAAATTGTATCTACTTTCCATTCAACATATCAGTTCACCCATCCTCTACTGCTTTTACCCTGGTCCAAGTCAGCATCAACTTTCACCTGCCTCTGCCCTTGCCATCAAGCACATTTCTCCTGATACAACAGTTAGAAGACCTGATTAAATTCTACACTGGATCATATCACTCTTTTGTTCAAATGTCTACAGTCATTTTCCACCTCATTCACAGATATATCAATTGGTAGTCCTTTTTTTTTTTTTTTTTTGAGATGGAGTTTCCCTCTTGTTGCCCAGGCTGGAGTGCAGTGGCAGGATCTCAGCTCACTGCAACCTCCGCCTCCCGGGTTCAAGTGATTCTCCTGCCTCAGCCTCCTGAGTAGCTGGGATTACAGGCACCCACCACCATGCCTGGCTAATTTTTTGTATTTTTAGTAGAGACGGGGTTTTGCCATATTGGGCAGTCTGGTCTTAAACTCCTGTACTCAGGTGATCCGCCAGCCTGGGCCTCCCAAAGTGCTGAGATTACAGGTGTGAGCCACCGTGCCTGGCCCGGCTGTCCTTTTAAGACTGTGACTTCTAAGGCTTTATATTCTTTCATTGATCTCTTTGTTAATCCTTGAATACACCAAGCCTGCTCCCACTTCTTGGTCTTTGTGCATGCTATTCCCCTTACCTGGAATGCCCTTGCCTCAAACATCTACCTGTTTCACTCTTCATTTTCTCACTCTTACTGAAGTGGCACCTTCTCAGTGAGTCCTTCTCTGGCCACCCTTTCCAACATTTTTATGTCTAAGAGTCCCTGATACTTCCCATCCCCCACTTCTTGCTTTATATTTTCTCCTCATACTTATCACTACCTAACATACTACATGATTTATTAATCTATTTTATTTTCTGTCTCCTCCAGTGGCATGCAGTCTTCACTAGAGGAAACATCTCTATCTGTTATTTTTCACTGCCTTATCTTCAGTGCTTCACAGTTTTTGGAACATAGTAGATGATCAGTAAATATTTCTTGCTTAGAAGAATGCAACCTTTTCATCGTTTAATATCAGAACATTGAGAAATGGTCCACAAGAAATTTCACTTGTGGCATATTAAGCTGCTATTAAGCAAAGTCTTTTCTATCTCATAATTGGGCAAGTTAACTTTTTCAGCTGAAATGTGTGACAAATAAATAGTGGGTTTAGTTGACAAATATTCTATATGAACTAACAGTGTGATATGTCTACCTAGAAAATTAAAGTGGTTATTTGTTAGCAATAACGATTTTACTGTATTCTGCATAGTTGGAACCTGTATTATTTTCAGTTCTGGGCACCATATTTTTAACATCATTTCAATAAATTTTAGTATTCTAGAGGATGCTTGGCTGGCAAAAACCTAGGAACAGTAGGAAGAACTATTGGAGGATCTAGAGTCTCCTCCTGTCAAAGGTAGAGATTCAGATTGTAGAAGGTAGAGGGTTCCTATGAAGGTTGATGCATATTTTCAAATATTTGAAAGATTTATTAAAAAGGGTAAGGATGAGATTTAGCTTCTGTAGCTACAACAAGAACAGGTAAGACCAGTAGGAGGCGGATTTTGGCTCTGCCTATGGAAAAATCTTACTGAAAAGACTATCCAAAATGGACTAAGTTCTCTTTTGAGCAAATAAATTGCCTATTGCAGGAAACCATCTGGGTAACAGTCTGTGAGTGATAATGTTGGGAGGTTGGATTGGGTGACCTATAAAGTCTTCATCCTCAGACAGTAATTTCTTCTTACAAGATAATATGGATTTGAAATTTACTTGTCCTTATTGTAATGATACCAGGATTTTTAGCCATGGTGTTGGTTTTTTTTTTTTGTTGTTGTTGTTTTTTTTTTTTTTGACTGAGGTCATAAAGTGCTTACAGTCCATGGAAGACTTGAATTCCTGCTTGAAATTCAGAATTGATTATATCAAGACTTCTTTCTTATGTGTAACAGTTTACAAGGTCATTCAAACTTTCCAACAATCTCAGTAGCAACTTATTTTTCATAGTTTACACTGCTATTTTTTTGCATTGATTTCTGGGTTCCATGGGATTTGTATTTGTTATAATGTGGAAATTTACATTTTTTACGCCTCTAGGGAAATAAATGGACTGATAAGACCCAAACTTGCAGCAAAGAATATGAGATTTAACAGAGTTCCCAACAATCCTTGGCCACCAAAATTGAGACCTGATAGCCTTTAGAACACAAAGTACTTGAAAATTCAAAACTTCCGACTTAGAAGAGGTATTTTCTGAATATCAACATTAAACTGTGACAACATGAGTTTCAACATTTTTAGAATTTAACCAGTTAGTAAGAATACCAGAATTGCACTGCTTGTTGAGTTCAAATACTTTGCAGAAGTTGTTTCTAAGTAAATAATAGATGTTTCTCATTTGCATCAAAAAAAATGCCCAAATTCTTTACCAAGTAGCAGATTTTAAAATACATCACGCATTGTATTACTGAGCAATCGTTTAGGAAATGTCAAGGCCATAGAATAATTGCTTTATTGCATATGGCCTATACTTCACTTCTTTATATGTGGATATTTGTTGTGACTTACAGTTTAGTTACGATGAAATGAATCAATATTAGCCAACACATAGAAAAGTACTGTGGTTATTTGGCCAAGTTATATCTCAAATAACTTTCAAAGTTGTAAAATTTTTATTTATCAGTCCCCCTATAAGGACATGATGACATTTGTTTTTTGAAAGGGCAAAGGGGAAGGATGAGTGAATTAAGTGTCTGTGAAGTAGCATTCAGAGTAATCTGAATTAGTGAAGATGAGGATGGTGATGCCACCTTTTTTTTTAAATGGGTACATAATGTTTCCTGTAATACACATTCAAACTGAGCTTTAATTACAAAAGGAAAATATCCAGATTTCTCCCTCTTACCAAACAGTTTTACATTCCTCTTTCTGGTGGCCACCAAATTTTGCAATTCTCTTCCCTCCCACCTGTAAATAAAAGCAATTCCTTCCTAAAAAGCGACTAAGAGAATGGCCATTCTGAAAGTTTCTTCTTCATTAAAACCCAGTGCTTAAGTTGTAGAGTTATCTGGCTTTCAGTATTACAACTGAGGTCAAATGTTTACAAAATCTGAAGTGCTGGGGCATTTAATTTTGTATTTAACTGTCTACACAGTAAGATTTAATGGCAGGAATGGAATCATCCAACAGGTGCACTTGGACTAAAGTCTCCAATGGAATCATCCAACAGGTGCACTTGAACTAAAGGACCTCTATATTTAAAAAAAAAAAATGAACAGGAAGTTTTTTCTGAACTCCATTTAAAGAGATTTTTACATTTCTAAAATGACCCACTTTTATAAGGGGGGTAACTCATAAATTAATGACTCACACATAGGAATATTTAAGTTGGACTCAAAGTGTGTGTTAAGTTTCACATTTAAAATATTGAATTTATACACATCCATGAAAGTTTAATATGCTACTTGTTCTGGTGGAGCACTAACCTAAAATTGTATGTTCACATCTTCAAAAACTCTGGAAGAAGGCTACCTCTTCACTAAAGTAGTTGGTGGGAGGGGAAAACCTCCTTTTTTTTAGCTACCATAACTTGTATTCCAACTTAGACCATTCTAAATATATCTTCAAAGTTTGTGATATGGTGACGACAAATAGCAGGAATCTTTGTTTTAATTATAGAAATATTAAGTGCTGAAAAAGTGATCATCACTTTTTACCCTTTGTACATACCTAATCCAACTAATTCTTCCCCTCAAAGCACCAGCCCTAGTAGGAGATGCTGTTATTGTATTAGGTTGTTGCAAAAGTAATTGTGGTTTTACTTTTGCACCAACCTGATTACTTTTGCACCAACCTAATAACTTTTGCACCAACCTAATAATTGTTACTTTGGGTGCAATTAGTTTTGCACCAACCTAATAATTGTTTTAGCCATCCTCTGCAAGGCAATATGGACTTGGAGCTGTTGAGGTCACTGTGGACCACATACTCTCAGAAAGCCCTTAATGTCATGGGAGTATTTTAAAATTACACATCAGTGGTTTTTAACTTTGGCTGCTCATTACAATCACTTGGGGAACTTTTTAAAATACCTATACTTCCCCACCCCCAGACATAATCAATTTCTATAGGTCCAGCATGGATATGCTTTAAAAGTCCCTCAGGTGATTTCATTGTGCAAACACAAGTTAATCACGAGTGGGCTGTATAGAACCACTGGCCATGGGAACTGGCCTGGTGTTCTACATAGTTTGGATGTGGGTTTTAGGAACTCGGAAAACTGGGGACAACCAGATGTATGAAAGACCCCGGTAGAATTGTATTAAAAATGAGTGGGCTCTTTCTCGCCCTGCATTTGAATTTGGAACTTAATATAATTGAACATGTCATTTATTCATGTTACAAGTGTGTATTGACCGTGTACTTGATGCCATGCCCTGTGCTAAGCATGAGGATAAAATGGTGCTCAGCACAGCCCTGCAGTTGTTCAAGTCAAAACTAAATGATTCACCAGTTATCATACATTACCACGGTAAAGACAAGCACATGGGGGAGATATTTATCTACACGGAAGAGAAAAGGGAAGTTAAGAGAAGTCCAATGAAGTTTAAGCTGAAAACTGAAGGATGACTAGGATTTAGCCAGATGAGAATGTAAGAATGGGGGTATTCTGAGATATTGAAATGCCAGAACCAAGAGAGTGCACATACATGTCACAAAGTAGGAGAATTCAAATTGTGCTGGAGAGAGGAGTCCCAAGGTTAGAAGAGTCAGATGAGTTTAAACAGATCAACAGATTGGAGGATTACATAAAGGGTCATGCCGTTATCCATGCGAGCATTGGTTCAAGTTTTGCTATAGCATTGAGAATATATTGGAAAAGGAAGAAGAGTGAAGCAGGGGAAAGAGACATTGAAGCAGAAATTTAGGTAAGAGATGATGGTGGCTTTATTCACAGAAGCAGAGTTGGAGAAAAGTAAGCCGATTTGAAAAGTAGGAGTTTTAGGTACTGAATATTTGGAGACAGAAAAGTGGAAAGAAGCAAGGATGACACCCATGTTTTGGGTGTAGGAATATGACAAAATTGAAATAAGAAGCATAGAAGAGAAACAGGTTTAGAGAAGTTGTTGAATTTGGTGTTGAATATATTCCATTGAAGGCTCTTGTGAAATGAACAGACAAACTGTGTGGTAGACAGCTGATAACACAAATCTAAAGTTTGTGGCAGATATTGGGGGTAGGGATGGACTTGGGGAGTATAAACATTCACGGAATAATTAAACCATGGGAGTGGATGACCTTATCTAGAAAGTAAGAAGAGACGGAGACCTCTCTTCTTCTTTTTGTTTTTTCCTTCAACTTTTAAGTTCCGGGATACATGTGCAGCATGTGCAGGTTTGTTACATAGGTAAACACGTGCCATGGTGATTTGCTGTATAGATCAACCTGTCACTTAGGTATAAAGCCCAACATGCATTAGCTTTTCTTCCTGATACTCTCCCTCCTACAACCCGGTGACAGGCCCCAGTGTGTGTTATTCCCCTACCTGTGTCCATGTGTTGTCACTGTTCAGCTCCCACATATAAGTGAGAACATGTGGTGTTTGGTTTTCTGTTCATTAATTTGCTGAGGATAATGGCTTCCAGCTCCATCCACATCCCTGCAAAAGACATGCTCTTGTTCCTTTTTATGGCTGCATAGTATTCCATGGTATGTATGTGCCACATTTTCTTTATCCAGTCTATTGTTGATGAGCATTTGTGTTGATTCCATGTCTTGCTATTGTAAAGAGTGCTGCAATGAACATACACGTCCATGCATCTTTATAGTAGAATGATTTATATTCCTTTGGGTATATACCCTGTAATGGGATTGCTGGCTCAAATGGGTATTTCTGCTTCTAGATTTTTGAGGAATCACCACACTGTCTTCCATAATGGCTGAACTAATTTATATTTCTACTAATAGTGTAAAAGTGTTCCTTTTTCTCTGCAACCTTGTTGTTTCTTGTTTTTTTGTTGTTGTTGTTTCTTGACTTTTTAATAATTGCCATTCTGACTGGCATGAGATGGTATCTGATTGAGATTTTGATTTGTATTTCTCTAATGATCAGTAATGTTAGGCTTTTTAAAAAATGTTTATTGGCTGCCTGAATGTCTTCTTTTGAGAAATGTCTGTTCATGTCATTTTCCCACTTTGTAATGTTTTTTTTTTCTTGTAAATTTGTTTAAGTTTCTTGTAGACTCTGGATATTACCCCTTTGTCAGATTGGTAGATTGCAAAATTTTTCTCCCATTCTGTAGGTTGTCTTTTCACTCTGATGATAGTTTCTTTTGTTGTGCAGAAGCTCTTTAGTTTGATTAGATCCTATTTGTCATTTTTTGGCTTTTGTTGCAATTGCTTTTGGCATTTTCATTGTAAAATCTTTGCCTGTGCCTATATCCTGAATGGTATTGCATAGATTTTCTTCTGGGGTTTTTATACTTTCGGGTTTTCTTTTTTTTCTTTCTTTTTTTTTTTTTTTTTTTTTTTTTGAGACGGAGTCTCGCTCTATCACCCAGGCTGGAGTGCAGTGGCGTGGTCTCTGCTTACTCCAGCCTCTGCCTACTCCAGCCTCCACCTCCCGGGTTCACACAGTTCTCCTGCCTCAGCCTCTCAAGTAGCTGGGACTACAGGTGCACGCTGCCACGCCCGGCTAATTTTTTTGTATTTTAGTAGAGATGAGGTTTCACCGTGTTGCCCAGGCTGGTCGTGAACTCCTAAGCTCAGGCAATCAGCCTGCCTTGGCTTCCCAAAGTGCTTGGATTACAGGGACGAACCATCATGCCTCGGGTTTTAAATTTAAGTCTTTAATCCATCTTGACTTAATTTTAGACCTCTCAAAGTTTAAGGAATAAAAGGGATCATGGTAGGAATACTAGGTTACTACACTGGATATCACTATAACTAGTTTGTAGTTCTGATTTTGCCACTGCCTATAACTATGTCATGGGTAAAGGATTTAATTGTTCTCATTTCATTTTCCTAATCCATACCAGGAGAAACTCCCGCCCCCACCTACCTCATAAAGTTGTGCAGTGGGCTGAATGGTGGTACCCCAGAGATGTCCATGTTCTATATCCTGGAAACTGTGAAGATGTCAGGGTATATGAAAAAAGAGAATTAAGGTTGCAAATGTGATTAAGTTGCTGTCAGCTGATGTTAAGATAGGGAGGTTATCCTAGTGGGCCCAAAGTAATCACAAGGTTCTTAAATGTGGAGGCAGGAGGCAGAAGAGAGAGAATCAGAGGGACCATAGGGTGAAAGGGATTGGCCTAACGTTTTTGGCTTCCAAGGAGGAATGTGCCATGAGCCAAGAAATGCAAAAGCTGGAAAGGCAAGAAAATGTATTATTTCCAGGAAACTCCAGAAGAAATGCAGACTGCTGACAGTTTGATTTTAGCTCACTGAGACCCATTTTGGACTTCTGACTTCCTGGACTCTGTGATAAATGTGTGTTATTTTAAGCCACGGAGTTTACAGTCCTATTGCTGTAGCAGCAGTAGGAAACTAATACAAGTATTAGGTAGATGAAATCAGATTATGGATATGAATTGGTCTTGAAGACAGCAAATGGACAGACAAATGGACATGCTTATGAGGGCGTGTTTATGTGTTCATCTACTCATTCCAGTGACAGATATTGAGCACTAGATGTGGGTAAATTGTTGTTCCAGGTGTGGTTGGTTTTAACATTAGACTCTTAAGCAGTTACTGTGTAACAGGGAAGATGATCAGAAGACAAAGGCACATAAATACTCATTTAACAAAGAGAATGCTGGTATTTAGATATCTCTGGATTTCTAAGTGGTGTGTCAGAGTGGTTGTAGTAACTAAAGACAACTTCTCCACGCCAAGTAAGTTCGGCCCACATTCAGGCCCCCCTTCCAGACAATCAAGGGCCTAACTCTCTCTGCAACAACTTGTGCTGGAGTCTTAGATGAGCTTGAGCTTCAGGCTGTTGACCTTGAAGAAGTTAACAAAACTTTTTGAGTCTCTGGTATACCTAGCTGATAGAGCTACTGTGAAGAGATAAGTATATATTTCATTATTTTCCCCTTTTCTCTTCTCTCCACTCCTAATCTCAACCAATTTCTCTTCCCATCAAAAATCTGAAGATTCCTGGTTTCAGCTGGACTTTAGTACTGCTGGTAGAATTACCGCAAGCACTTTGCTTTTCCTCATACATCATCATAAGAGATTACCGCAAGCACGTTGCTTTTCCTCATGCATTATCATAAGAGATTAGAGAGTGTTTTCAAATACTATGCAAGTTCTCTGTTCTGTTTTTTTCTTTTTTTTTTAAGTTCATAGTATTAAAAGAAATATGTTGCAGACAATACCAGACACCAGACCTTAAGAAAAACAGAGTTGGGGTCGCTGACCTGAGCATGACCTTTGCCTCAGGAGGACTTAGGCCAGCAAGCCACAGCAACCTGGGCAGGATATGGAGAATGAAGTAAAACAGACTGAGCTTTAGAAACTAGGTGGAAGAAGGCTCTGACAAAAAAGTCATGGTATGTTGTTAACAGTCAGGTAGTGGTTAAGTTCTGTGCCGTGATCTGCATCAACCCTAACCTCAAGTAGCGAGAACGGCAATGAAAATAATGTATTTCCTTCTACAGTACTTAATTGTGTGCCAAGGACTATCTTAATCATGTTACAAGTAATCCTCAAAACGTTTCATTAAGCAAGTAATGTGATTATCACTCCCACTTTACAGATGGAGAAACTGAAGTATAGAGCAGTCTACTAATCATCTAAGGTCATACACCTGGTAGGGGGCTAGTAGAGTCACATGGAATACTGGCAAAGCCCTCAACCTGGAATCTAAGAACTGGCGTTCTTTAGAGTAGAACGTGTATCAGACAATAGCAAGGCCCCAGCCCCAGTTTTGTTTCTGAGGCTGAACCTCCAGAAGGAAAGCTGACATCTTAGCACTGACAATGGGAAAATAATGCAGGCATCAGAACTGGGTACCTGGAGCACCCTGAGTGTGGAGATGATAGCTAAAGAAGCACAGTTGTCAGTTGACTAACAAGAGTAGCTAGATAACATGCCAGAGTGTAGAGCTTAAAGCCCCTCACTCCCAACTGACACACTGCCTGTGGTCATTCCCCCAGACGCTTCCACCCCAGGCCTTGTTTGAGGATCCTGGTGCTCGCGAGTCCATCCAGTCAGAATCGGGCACGTCAAATGTATCACCAGCCAAATTGTGGAGCACTCTCTCCATTTATACAAGGAAGAACCCAAAATGATTCAAATTAAAAAGAGGAAGGCAAAGAGAGGTTTCAAGCTATCAGTGGGACAGGGCCTCTGTATCCTATTAAAGGATTTTCACAAAACTATTAAAGAAAGTAGGAAGCCTTTTATAAGAATTGTGCAAACTAAATCCAAAACGGCATCGTGTCTTCCCCCCTTATAATACTGTTACTATGGAAAGATATTATATGTGCGTTTTTGAAGACTTTAAAATGGAAATAAACATTTTCCCCAAATCAGCTATCATCATCAAAATGAGAATCTGTCTTACTGTTAGAAATTCTGAGTTAAAAAAGTTTCTATTTCTAAAACTAAATGCTGATGAGAGCTTATACAGTCCAAAATAGAAATGTTTTTTTCCTAAGCATAAACATCTGAACTTGAGTTATAGTTAGCTGGTCCAGTATTGCATAGAAAAGACTGTACACACACACACACACACACACAGATGAGGATAAAGATACATCTTTTGCTCATTCTTTGAGTTATAATTGCTCATCTTTCTAAAATATTAAACCAAAGATCCACAAAGAATACTATTTGCCTCCAAAAATGTATCACCTTTACTGGAAAATATGTTAGAATGTCTATCTCAAGATTTGGAATTTTAACCATCCCCATTTTTGTTCAGTTCAAAGAATCTCAAATAAGGTGAGGCCAAAATTGAATAATATGCTCCTCTTATCCTAAAAGAGTTTTGAAGATCAGCTTCCCTTGCAGTGGTCTTTGTTTTTTCACCAATATAAAGATTTTCAGATATTTCAATGTGCTATTCTATCCCTTTTATCAGAATGAAGCTTCCCTGCAGATGATGAAAGGAACACGCTTTTAAATGCATTTAGTTTGGCATTCACTTTCTCAAATACATTTGGAATAACATAGTGGAGCATACTTAATCAAGCTGAAAACAAGCACTCAATGCAGGGGAAAGACATACATCCTAGCAGTCATCAAGTTAGATGTTCTGTATACAAATAAGGTGCCCCTATCCCCAAGGGCAGTCAAGCTTCTACCAAGTGGACCACTCTTTGCACTTTGAATGGGAAATGGCAAGAAGCCACATTGGCCCTGCAGCCTGAGAAATGCTGCCAAATAGATATAAGCCAGGGAATCTGAGGGATTACATTTTAGAGTTTGTCTAAACATTACACCAAAGAAGGACTCCATCCTACAAACAATAATAATAGTAAAGCTTTGTTTGAGATATGCTTTTTGTAGAATACTCCCTATAAAGGGGGAAAAGGGTCTTTTGGAATTTAGAAATCAAAGCATGAAAAGCAAGAAAACCATCTAAAATAAGCTTAAACTGTTAGTCCACTGGAAAAATTGCATGCCTTAATTTGCTAACAGTCTCAGGGATGTGATAACTGCAGGAGAAGCCAAGTATATTTTCAGAACTTTTACTGAGGAACAGCCTGCCTTAGCCCTACCCAATGAACACTGTCCTTCCTAGTCATTGTCCATTCAGGCCTGCACATTTTAGCAGACTGAGACTATCCTTCTGTTGTCTTAGAATTATCTTGGTAAACACATATAGCTGGGGACATTTCTGCCTGATTAACCCTCAGTGCAATTTTGATTTCATTTAGAATCTGAAGACATGAGTTGATTCAAAACAAATATTTCCTCACTGGGCATGCTGTTTCACTCACTGACAACAATTTGCTATTTAGGATACAGAAGAAATATAAAAGGTGATAACAATGTCTGAAGGAGATAGCTATTTAGTTCAGAAAAGAACAATAGACTTAAATTACTGGTACAAAATATAGGACATGACATATAACTAAATGTTTATCTATGTCTCAAAGACCAAATGCTGTAAACATTCTGCCTGGCCAAAATGGTGAAACCCCATCTCTAATTAGTCAGGCATGGTGGCACATACCTGTAATCCCAGCTACTCGGGAGGCTGAGGTAGGAGAATCGCTTGAACCCAAGAGGCAGAGGTTGCAGTGAGCCGAGATGGTACCACTTCACTCCAGCCTGGGCGATAGAGTGAGACTCCATCTCAGAAAAAAGAAAAAAAAAAAAAAAACCATTCTAAAGAAAAAATACTGGAAGAGTCTAGGGAGACTTCCTGGAAAAGATGGTTCTTGAACTAGACTCTCAGGGCTGGTTTTGAAGAGTGTGAGGGACATTTTAGCTAAGGAAATCCCACGGCATTAAGACATTTGGGCATAAGGGGTTTGTTAATTGTTGTTAATTGTGAGAAAATGGCCATTGGGTTCAGATACCACTAGGCTCATTTCTGCTCTGTCCATATTTATAACACTATGTCCTAGGACAGACTCTTTAAATTCCAAAAGCCTTAGATTTCTTATTTGTTGATTGACGATGACACAAAAATCAACCTGGCTGTGGTCTGGGGTCAGGATTAAATAAGATCTAACATATAAAGTGTTTAACATAGGGCCTGCATTTTCACTGTGTAGCCATGCCATGCGATATGCATAATAATGTTACATTGTACTATTTTTCAGCCCATATTTTACCCAGTAGTCATCTTTTCCATATTTGATAGTATTTTTAAACCCTTCTATTTGGATATTGCTTCTCTTTTATCATCCCTTGAATTCTTGCCTCCTCTTTTATGGCTCTTTACGTGGCTCAGAAGAACTTCACTTGGCTTCTTTCTTCTTTGTATTGGTGATTTTTTCACACACATGTCTTTAAGAACAATTTTACTCTTTCCCCTAACCTCTGTCCTGAATTACATTTTTAGCCATCTGCTGGACTTTTTCCACTTGGATATCCCACTGGCACTTGAGCTGAACATATCTAGAACAGAACCCATCATTCCTTCTGCTCAGCTCACATCTCCTGCTGGTGATTTCTCATCATTAGTGGTACCAGTTGGTTCCTGGTCAGTTGTAAGGGCTCATTGTCACTGTTGACCGCTTTTTTCAATTCTCGCCATATTAATCGTCAAGTCTATAGCTTGCATTTAGTTTTCTCTTCTCTGTTTCTATTGCTACAGCCCCATATGGTAACCCTATAACTCTTTCTGACCAGTGTCCTCACTGCTCTGTAGTCCATCTTCTCTGCAATCCTTCCTCTCTACAGTCCATCCTGCACATCAGTCTTCCAGTAACCTGGCCATGATCTCACACCATCTCTACTCAGAAGCCTCCAGTGCTTTCCCGTTCACTATCTGCTGAATTATTTATTTAAGCAGGCACCCAGGCCTCTCTACACAAGGCCTGGCTCCCCTTCCGGCTTTGCTCTGGCACACTTGCACACATATCCTTTGGTCATTCTGTTAACCAGCCAAACTGAATGACTGACACTCCTTCAACTGCCCTTTGCATTTTGACTCTGGGCATGTCTTTCTGTCTAGAATGCCTGCCTCCTCCCAGCTTTGCATTTTAAGCACCACATTTACCCTTCAAGACTCAGCTGAGAAGCCAAGTTCTGCATGAAGTTGCCCCTTTATTCTTACAGAATTTGTCCCATTCTACCTATAATTGTGTTTATACATTTTTTTATCTTCTATTAGGTCCTAAGTTCCATGAGCACTTGAACGGTATTTTATTTCTCGTTTCCCTGCTGCTTCCTAAAACTGTGTCTTTCCTGTAACTGCTGTTCAAAAAATGTTTTTTGAATGAATAATGCAGTGGGAAACATAAAGCCATTTAATAAAGCAAGGAAGGGATATTGATGAAGTGGGATTCGGGGAAGGTTAGTCTGGTACAATTACATGAAGGATATAAGCTAATTTTTCAGAATATTCCAAAGTTACAAAAGAATAAAATTATGTTAATGAGACTCTAAACCTGATTTATACTGTAAGTAGTAGGGAGGCTTTAGATAAAGTCTTTGATCTTTGAGATAGAGGTTAAAGGAAATTCTTCTCATTTGTATCTTCTCTCCTACCAAAGTGCATAGTTCAGTATACCCACTGTAACTGATGCTAAGTAAATAAGTGCATCATAGTCACCAAGCCACGTTGATATTCCCAGATGTGGCATTTAAATTTTTGGATGACCTAGTATAACAAAAACCAGGAAACAAACTGCATACCTAAATTCTTAATTACAAGAATACTAGCACATACAGACACATACACTTTATGATTCAGTCGATATCAAATTATGTGCAATCATCCATGGCCATTTTTCTAGTTCTCACTTTCCACTTGTTCATTATCTTTGGATGCAGTGTACATTTTTGCTAGGGAAAATGTCATTGGTAGTGTAATTGAGAATTGCTATCTATACTCAGCAATTTTGAAAGCTTAACTGTTCATTTTCTCAGCATACTGTTAGTATTATTGGCTTGTACTAATCCTTTTAAAAGCATTTTACCATTAAGTATGTGAATTCTGAAATATAAATTGCATATTGGAATCAAAAGAGCAGAATTAAAGCTATGATCCATGAGAGTGAGCTTGGTTTTTACACAGGACAATGTAACTATGACAATGTAACTTTCTCAGTTTATTATTTTATTTGAAGATATTTAAGTGTATAGTTACTTAACATATCTAAGTGCCCTTCTAATAATTTCAGCATAATAAATGCCTCTACTTGGTTCATATTCCTCAGGATGCATTGGCGAATAATGCTGCTCATAGGCCATTTTAAACAAGCATTGACTGGTACATGAGGGAGGGAGAGTTGGTCCCATGCAGACATTCTTTATAACAGTGACACAGACAGCTTATTCATTCTTCCCTTCATCCCATGTGACAATATTATTCATCTCAGTTATGGAAACACATAAATGTAATAAAACTGATTACTCAGAAGCAAAATAAATTTTCCAGTAATCTAACTTCTCCTATTTTTTTTTTCCTTTTGCTTCTTGAGCTTTTCAACTCACCACATATTCTCATTTTCATGAAGTGACAGAAAGGGCCAGGAAGCTCACTTAAAGACACAAGAAAACTTTGTTTTATTTGCACCAGGAAATTTGTCCCAGAATACCAATATAGAACTCGACAGAGCTAAGATGAAATAAATCAAACAGTGCTTGTCTATTTTAATTTTCTTTTGCTGCTTTTACAAGTGATGAGAAACTTACTGGCTTAAAACAACACAAGCGTTTCTTACAGTTTTAAATAATGGAAGAAGTTCCTAGACCATTTCTTATTCTCTGTCACCTTTTTTGTTTCTCATTTGCAGTAAGCTGGATTCTGCTCCTTCGCTCCCTTTTACAAGCGTCTGTAACTAACCAGATGGTAAAAAATATAGAAGTGTTTTCTTAGGCCACTCAATTCATCCCTTTCCAAAGGCTTTCCTCTTTCTTTACCTGTGACACTGAGTGCTCCTGGTTCTCCTCCTCCGCGTGTTTTCACATCTTACAATCAATTCCTCCATCTACTTCTTTCTTAGCCCTCCAACCTCAAATCGGAACTCTATGCTTTACTTTTTACATCTCAAAAGACTCGTTTGTCTCATTTTCATCAACAGGCAGTTTTTAGAAATTGTTTCTTGAACCCCTAGTCTTCACCTTGGCTTCATTTTAAATTTGCTTCTGCCGATGGAGTTTTCACACTTAAATGTCTTATTCCCTCAACTGTGGGTCTAAAACTTGGGCTTTCCCTTCAAATGTTCCTCTTATTTCTGTTAGTAGTACCAGTATTTTGTTTCTTTCATGCAAAAATCAGCCAACCTAAAACAACTCCAACAATAAACAAAGAGGCAAGATAAACAACAAACGGAGTCATATTTGCCTTTCTGTACTTCATAATAGTGCGTTGTAGGTTTTTTTCTTTCTTATATATTCCTCTTGTTGCTTTCTTAGTTTAACCATCCGGGGTTCTTACTAGTCTCTAAAGTGTGTCTATTCTTTCTGCACCTCCCATTATATCCTCCTAAACAATACTCACTAGACACTGACACTTCTCTGTTTAATCCACGTAGTTGGGGAGGGGATCACAAGTCAGCTTCAAAGATAATGGTATGTCCTTTACTTTAGTGGTATGGACAGTACAATGGGGGTTATTATTTTTTTAATTGCACATGTTACATGTGCTCTTTTACATGGGTGATACTTTTAACTAAAATAAATGACAGTACATTTTTAAAGACTTCCGACTATGTTATTGCATTCTAGAGCCTCAACTTGAAATACTAAAGTTGTCCACCAGTGACTTCCAAACGACTGAACCACAGTCTTTACCACTCCTTAGCTTCATTAACCTTCCTTTGCAATGATGTTGATTCCTTCAGTACCCCTCACTTCCCACATTTGTCTCTTCTTCTGAGCCTTATTCCACTGTGTTTCTACCTAAGAAATTCTATTTCTTGTTCAAGCCAAGATTTGTACCTTCCATACAAAAATTAGCCAGGTGTGGTGTTGCATGCCTGTATTCTCAGCTACTTGGGAGGCTGAGGCAGGAGAATTGCTGGAACCTGAGAGGCAGAGGTTGCAGTGAGCCAAGATTGCACCACTGCTCTCCAGCCTGGACAACAGAGTGAGACTCCAGATCAGAAAAAAAAAAAAAAAAAAGATTTGTACCTTCCTTCATCTTTTACAGCTAATCTTTCTCTATACCCTCCCTTTTCTTTGCCTGCATCTCTTCCTGATGTTGACAGTCTCCAAATCCGTGTTCACTTATATTGTGTTATAGTTTACTTGACCTGTCTTGTTTGTTATTAGATTTATCACAGCTCTTTAGCTAGAATATATAATCCTAGAAGGTTGACTATGAATCTACTAAATAAAATATGAATTCCACTTTGTTTTAAATATGCTGGAGGATGCTGTATTTGTTTAGTTTTATCATGCTGAGTGTCAAAATAATCCAGAGAATGTCACTGTAAATGTGGAAGGAGCCAAAAAAATTGAAGGTTAGATGCAATCTTTGAGTGCTGAGAACAATGGCTTTTGAAAATGACTTCAAAGCTCTACCAAATGTAAAAACCCACAGGCAAAATCACCTTTTGGAACATTTTTGCTCAGAATCGTTTATGCTAATGTTATGTTTACAGCACACTTTAGGAAGATGGGCTAAAGTTGCCATATGGTACATGTTTAATCTATTCTTTGCTTATTATCAGATAAATTTTCTTCCATCTTAAATTTCCATTTTTAGGTTCATTTTTATCAGCTTTTTACAAAATAAATGAAGCACATGGTTTGGTTTCAGAGTTTTATACTTTTTTTCTTTATCACTTTTGTCTAGGACAAATACTTAAAAAGAGTCCAAGAAAGTGATTGCCCTGTGGCCTTCTGATTAACAGGCAGCTTTTAATAGTGGCTGAAAGTTTTTACTTACCTAAAGCTGGAAGTTAGTATACACATTGTCCCCTGTTTTTAGTATTTATTTTAATGCTTATCATTTCTAATAATATTTCTGCTTTAAAATTAGGATTGTCATGTTAAATGTGTGCTAATTACATTGTGACTCAAATAATCACGGTTTATTAATTTAGACCTGCATATATATGTTAAAATGCATTTTTTTATCAGAGATGCAATTAAATTTAGTTAAGTATTGAAATATATTTTATTAAAAACATACCTACTTTATGATTTAGATTGTGAAAAGTTATTGGAATGTCCTCTTTGCCCTAATATGTGCACACACATACTCTTTGAAATTTGAGTTTGAAACTTTTGAAACACTTTGAAATTGGAAATTTGTTTAATATGTACCCAGTTCCCACCTGCCCCTCCCACCCAAAGAGCATTGTTTCAGGAAATCTTAGGTGAAGTTTCTGTCAAACACAAGCAGAAACTGTTTCAGAATGCATACAATTTAAAAAAACTTGTCTAATAAATTATTCAAACATTCCAGAATTTTACTATCAAAAGCTGAAAAAGACTGTACAAGAAAAGGAAAGAATACTATAGATCCTTCCACTTACGGAATGGCTAATGTTTATGAGCATTTAGTATTCACTAGGCTTGATAATGAGCCTTTTACCAAGATGTAGAGACATTAAGGAATTTGCTACTAACTCCTCAAGTTAGTAGCAAAGTTGTACATAAATTCCAGGGATATCTGAATTCAGAGCCTACATGCAATTAATGATGTTTTATTTTTGTCTCCTGGATGCAAAAATTCTAAATAAAATGTTTGGAAAAATGGAATCAATAAGCTTACGAAAGAATAATATAAAATATCCAAGTAAGTTATTCTAGAAATAAGATGATTTGACATTATCAGTGAATCAGTTTTTATAATCTATCATGAGTTTTATAATTATTTATAAATTCAACATCAACTTCTAGTGAAAAATCATTGGTTAGAAATAAAAATGTCCCCTTTTAAAATAATAAGGAATAACTAACTCAAATCAACAGCATCATATTTAACTATACAATGTAAGGCACAGTCCATTCAAGGTTAAGAAAAGAAGAACTGGGCTGGGCACGGTGGCACAAGCCTGTAATCCCAGCACTTTGGGAGGCCAAGGCTGGTGGATCACCTGAGGCCAGGAGTTTGAGACAAGCCTGGCCAACATGGTGAAATCCCATCTCTACTAAATTAGCTTGGCATGCTGGCACATGTCTGTAATCCCAGCTATTCGGGAGTCTGAGGCAGGAGAATCACTTAACCTGGGAAGCGGAGGTTGCAGTGAGCCGAGATTGTGCCACTGCACTCCAGCCTGGGTGACAGAGGGAGATCCTGTCTCAAAACAAACAAACAACAACAAAAAACAGGACTGCCTTTACCTTTACTAGTATTTAACATTCTGTAGGAAGTTCTTTGCAAATGGAGTTAACACCACAAAATGAAATGAAGTAGAAATATTGGAGAAGGACAAAGTGATACTTATTTGCAGTTGATATGCTTACTTAGAAAATTCATGTGTAGGCCTGGATTCTGATTGATCTAAATTGTTCTCCAGAAATTCCCTATTATTAGTTTGTAGCCTAATTTATCCATACTGAAAGCCTTAATTTCATCATCTGTAAAAAGGGGAAAATAATAGCACTCATTTTCAGAGTTTGGGGGTTTAAATAAAATTAATAATATGTTTAACACAGAATCTGACTAAAAGTAAGTGCTTGATAAGTGTTAGCCAATTTCAGTAAGTACAATAATAAAATGTAAGAATAAAAATTAAACTGAGCTTATCAAATAAATGGAGAAAAATTAATATGTTGTATATACCGGCTATATGGTCCAATTTTTTTGTTGTTGTTAAATTCTCTCTTTAGAGCAGTGGGGTCCAGTTCAACTTTCTGGAATCATGGAAATGTTCTGCACTCTGCAATATAGTAACCACTAGTCACATGTAGCTATTGAGAACTTGAATGTAGCCGGTGTGACTGAGGAACCGAATTTTTAATTTTATTAAATTGTAATTAATTTAAATTGGAATAACAACATGTGGCCAGTGGCTACCATATTGGAAATGAGAGCTCTAGAGGGTCTCATAAATTCACATGGCTTTATTTACTATTGTGACACTGATGACTCCCAAATTAACTCTACAGTCCATGTCCTACTCTAAATCTAAACTTCACTGTGTATCCTATGTATTTATTTGCCTACTTTTCATCCACCCCTACCTTAATATCTCGGTTTTCTCAGCTGCACCTTGTACTAAACAGGTTAAAAACTGAACTTGGCCGGGCGCTGTGGCTGATGCCTATAATCCCAGCACTTTGGGAGGCCGAGGCGGGCAGATCACGAGGTCAGGAGATGGAGACCATCCTGGTCAACATGGTGAAACCCCGTCTCTACTAAAAATACAAAAATTAGCTGGGCTTGGTGGCACATGCCTGTAAACCCAGCTATTCGGGACGCTGAGGCGGGAGAATCGCTTGAACCTGGAAGGCGGAGGTTGCAGTGAGCCGAGATCTCGCCACTGCACTTCAGCCTGGCGACATAGCGAGACTCCTTTGACCTCCACCTCTTCGGAGCCTACTACTCTTGACTTGATCTCCACTTTCCACAAATCCTAGCTGACCGTCTACCCTAATTCCCAGGTGAATGAGTAAACTGATGCCGCTGAAAGAATTCAGCTGGTGAATGGATGAGCAGTGGAATCTTTACAAAATGAAATACAACTCAGCAAAAAAAAAAAAAAAAAAAACAAAAACGTAATGAACTATGCATGCCTACAGCAATGTAGATGACTTACTTTTTTAAAAATTTTTTATTATACTTTAAATTCTAGGGTACATGTGCACAACGTGCAGGTTTGTTACATATGCCATGTTGGTGTGCTGCACCCATTAACGCGTCATTTACATTAGGTATATCTCCTAATGTTATCCCTCCCCCCACCCCCCACCCCACGACAGGCCCCGATGTGTGATGTTCCCCTTCCTGTGTCCAAGTGTTCTCATTGTTCAATTCCCACCTATGAGTGAGAACATGCGGTGTTTGTGTTTTTGTCCTTGCGATAGTTTGCTGAGAATGATGGTTTCCAGCTTCATCCATGTCCCTGCAAAGGACATGAACTCATCCTTTTTTATGGTGGCATAGTATTCCATGGTGTATATGTGCCACATTTTCTTAATCCAGTCTATCATTGATGGACATTTGGGTTCGTTCCAAGTCTTTGCTATTGTGACTAGTGCCACAATAAACGTACGTGTGCATGTGTCTTTACAGCAGCATGATTTATAATCCTTTGGGTATATACCCAGTAATGGGATGGCTGGGTCAAATGGTGTTTCTAGTTCTAGATCCTTGAAGAATCGCCACACTGTCTTCCACAATGGTTGAACTAGTTTACAGTCTCACCAACAGTGTAAAAGTGTTTTGCATTATACCGAAAGAAGCTAGACTCAAAAGGTTACATGTCTATGATACATTAGATAAGGGACAGAAAATAAATTAGTGGTTGTCAGAAGAATGGGGATGGGGAAGCGATTGTCTACAAAGGGGCACAGAAAATTTGGGAATTGTTCTGTATCTCAATTTTGGTCTTGAGTTGTATGTATGTGTTTGTCAAGAATGTACACAAAAAGGAATACATTTTACTTTATATAAGTTATTATCTCAATAAACCTGATGGAAAAGCAGAAAATCAGATTTTTCTTAAAGCTCTTCTTTTATTCTAATGAACCAGAGCAGACCAACTGAATCAGTCGGCTTCATGAAGTCATGAATCTTCGTGAAGAATAGGGGGAGTCTCTAAGTACCAAGTTCCCTCCTTTCAGTGCCCCTGAGCCACAGCCGGGACAATTCCTGCACACAGCAGGTTCCTTGGCCAACAGCGCTGAATTGGATTCAGCAATTGTTGAACTGTTTCTTCTTCTGGAGTGGGTATACCCTGATTATTTCACAGCTTTTCAAGGTTTTGTTGTTCATGAATCGAAAGTAAGCATCTGTTTCTATGAAAAGTACAGTGAGACTTAAAGCAACCTGAAGTAAAGCACATAGAACCTCGTCCCTGTGTCTCTAGCTGCAAATGTATTGTATTTGACAACAGTGATGCTATTTGTCCTGAGAAGCCCTGCTGCCTATCAGAATATTTCTGAATAATACTGTACCTAGCCTTTGTCTACCAACCTTTTGTAAGAAGTTTAAAGGTAATTTGTATGCTGGTGTTCCTCATGTAAATTAGGTCATTATCCTTTTAAAGGTATAAAGCCTCCTGTACACGATGGAGCTTTCTAAGAAAAATAGATTTGACCTTTCTTTCCCTCTATTCAGGGTGCCTGCAGTGCTTGCACTCATTAGCTAGAATTTGACTCCATGACATTTTTACTTAATTTTCTTTTTCTTCTACGTTGGACACATGGGGCAACCATTTATATTCTTTCTTGACCTGAGATGCTCTCTAATCTCTTTCCAGCTGTGGCATTTGTCATTCAGTCACATCAGGATATGGTGACCCTTCTTTCCCCACTGCAATTCCCAACTGTTAATTGATTCATTTTAGGGAAGGAACTAGACACAGCCCTATGGACCCAGCTCCATTTAATTAGTGTTAACCAGAACAGTAGATAGGAAAGCAATTTCCTCTGGAGTGGAAACATAGGCTTTATAAGGTAGTAGAAGAGACAAATAATACTAGTTTTTATAGCCCTTAGTTTTTAAGGGCCCTGAATTGGCAACAGACTTAGAAACAGCATTCCTCTCCATTAGTAATGATGGTTGTGACAATAATTATTATTATTAATAATAACTGTGATTCTAACCCAGGTCTTTCTGACCACAAAGCCCATACACTTCATCCTTGTGCTAAAAACTTTTTGTGACAGCTCCCACCGGTATGCCAAGGACTATACTAGTTACTTTGTGTCTTCCTCATAATCCAGTGAGATGCATCACACGAAGCCCATTTTATAGAAAGGGACACTGAGGTTCAGAGAGGTGAAGTAACTTCCCCCAGGTCATGCATTTGCTGTGACCAGGATCAGAGTCCAGGTCTTCCCTGGCACTCAGTCCATGCATTTTATCACTACTGACACTATATTGCGCTTAGAATAGAAAGGTACTAGCAAAAACATCTCTGGAAAGCACTGCTAGACACTTTGTAAACTGTGATCCAAGATATTATTCTGATGGAATTTACTTTTGAACTTGAAATACTTTATTTACAGATTATTAGGACTTCAATAAAATGTAGAGCCTTAGAACTGCAGGGAAGCAACATGTTTAACTACGAGAATTAATCACTTTAATATGTGCCTGCACAGTTAGAGAAGTTGTGGTCTTGCAGTGTGTAATGTTATGTGTGAACAGATAAACAATTAAGGGGTGGCAATATTCAGTGATACATTTTATGACAGAAGTGTCCAGGACGCTATGGAAAAGAGAAGAGGGCAGTCTTTTGCAGGTGGGGGTAGGCATATCCCAGAATAGGCGACACTGAGCTGAGGTGTGGATCAGGTGGAACCTGGCTGCCTGAGAAGTATGTATGCAAAACAGAAGGAGGGATTGACGTGAAAGACGGTGACGCATTCTTAGAAATGGCTGGAGAAAAAGTATGTTGAGGAGAGTATCCTTGGCCAACTAAGTATGGAGGTAGATGGCATAAAATAATCCCATTTTCTAGCTCTCTCGTCCTTTACTACATAAAGGCTCCATTTTGTAAACATACCTTTATTTTTTATAAAGCTTTTAAAAATAAATTTATTTCTTTTAATGGACAGATAATAATTGTGCATAGTTTGTATCTATTTTGTTCAAGCAACATCTTCCTGGCAGGAGGCGTTGCTGCTTCTAAAGCAGATGTTTTGCAGCAGCCATAGAGCTCAGCTGCCTGGAAAAGAAATAAAGGATCCTTCACGTGTTAACTGTAGCTCTGTGGGTTCATGAACAGATCCTAAGCTATTTCTTGAGCAAGGCTTTAGCCCTGCTATCAAACACTCCTACTGTCCCGGTGCATCCTTCTGGTTTAAAAAAATGAAGAGGAGAATTTCTTTTTTTTTTTCTGAGAAGGAGTAAATACATGTTAACTTTCTTAATTTTCATAATAGAACATAGGCCTGGTTACCTGCTTGTCTGGAATCTAAAACTGCCTGGGGAATCTCTCCTTGAATGTTAGTAATTCTGTTCTATATACCTGGAGTTATTAAGCATAATTAGATTTCTGTGACCTAGAATATATAATTATTATAAATAAATCTACTGTAACTATGCTGAATTAAAGAGACTATTATATGATTCCTTGGCAAGTCAACCAGTAGTGCCTACATGGTCATGCTAATGAGTCTTTTTCATTTGATTTCTTCCATCACTGCAGATTTATGACCTCTTGTTTCTAAGTCATCTTGTCACCAGAGATTTAATAAGGATTCACTCTGTTCTCTTCTAGTTTTTCTATGATTTTGTGTTTTTATTTAACTTTTTGCTCAGCAGGTAATTATTTTAGTATAAGAGAGGAAATATTGTTTCAAGTAGTATTTTCCCCTATGTTGCTAATCGTTACTAATTGTTAATTATTTTATTTTATTTTATTTTATTTTATTTTTTTTTTGAGACAGAGTCTCGCTCTGTCACCCAGGCTGGAGTGCAGTGGCACGATCTCGGCTCACTGCAAGCTCTGCCTCCCAAGTTCACGCCATTCTCCTGCCTCAGCCTCCCAAATAGCTGGGACTACAGGCACCCACCACCACGCCCGGCCAATTTTTGTATTTTTAGTGGAGACAGGGTTTCACTGTGTTAGCCAGGATGGTCTGGATCTCCTGACCTCGTGATCTGCCTGCCTTGGCCTCCCAAAGTGCTGGGATTACAGGCATGAGCCACCACGCCGGCCAATTGTTAAATGATATCTCCACCTTTGACATTGATTTCTGTTAAGACTTACAATATTTTAAATATATACATAGGGTAGATTTCTGGGTCACTAATTCTAGCCTGCTTATCTCTCTCTTTTATCTTTCACAGCCACCCATATTTTAAAATATCAACATTTTATAGAATATTTTGATATCAAGTAGGGCAAAATTTATTTATTACTCTTCTGTTACTTTTTTCTATTCTTATTAGAATATGTTCTGTTCTTCTTACAAAAGGGCTTTAGAATAATTTCATTAAGCAAACAACATTCTGTTAGGATATTGAGATAGATGTTTTCTTAAAGTTAAAAATAAGCTTTTAAGTACTCATCTATAATTCATTTGGGCCTATTGAAAATAATTTCTTTAAAGCCCCTTTCTCATCCATCCTAGACTTTGTTTTCTTCTTGATATGTTACTTCTTCCTATTTTTTTTCTTTTAGTTTAAAGATGGTCTATTTTTCTAGAAAAGATAAAAACAAAAATATAATTGAATAGCTTTTTCTATTTTGTCTGTTAGCATTAAACTATTTATTTCTGAGTTTGAGGCCTATCTCTGCTTCATTCTTTCCACATGAAACACCCAGCTGAAAAGCCTTCTGTTCTCTTTTAGCTTTTAAAAAGCTTCAGCTTTTCCTTCTTTTGGCCTTCCTAGGGTGGTTCTCTGGCCGGAGCCACTTACTTGCATTCAACCTGACTCTGTGCTGGTCCTTCTGCTGTTGATTCTTTACTTTTCTGAACATGAGCTCATCAGACAGTTCCCTGGGCAGTCACAACATTTATCTAGTTACCAGTCCCTTTTCTTCCTAATTAGGGCAACTTGCTATTGTGTTCTCAGTCTGGCTTGTGAGACCTTTTTCTCTTGTAGCCATATTTTTTTTAATCTCTAACCACAAACTTAGGAAATAACTTCCCAGAAACTTCTGAGCTGCCTAGTCAACCTATCTAAATACATTTTTTTTTCTCTCTTGGCTACTATGATCTCTGAGATGATATATTCACAGCCTCCCAAATTCCCATCATTGCACCTCACTAACAATTTTCTGGTCAGATGTTAAGTCAAAAATGGAGATTCCCTTCATTTTCAGCACCCATCTGAAAGATGTTATTGCAAGTCCCTCTGCAAGAATTTATTGAATGTTCTTGTTGTTGGAGAGCTGTGGGTCCTCACAACTCTAGATGTTTCCAGGTATAACAAAAATGTGAAATGTGAGATTAACTTGAACAACGGTTGCATGAAGGGAGAATCTGATCTAAAACTGGCTTGGAGAGACTGGGATCAACAGAGAAGCAGGAAAAAATGACCAACCTTGGGGGTTAGGTATATGTGTATTGGGTGATGGGGAGGGAGAATGGACATGTGCAAGCTTAGTTTTACAAACACTCACACACCTGGGCCACAATAGTGTGAAATTGATCTGTTGTCATCTCTCAGTTCCCTGCCTCATGGACAATTTGTAGTCATTCTTGCTGATTTCCCTGACAGTGCACCAAAGATGATAAAGTGTCAAGAACCCACAATAATTGTAAAGAAATATATAGACAATCCTATGTTATATATAATTAAAATAAGACTATATAAAAATGTTCACTCTTTTATCCTGTTCTCTGCTTTTCAAAATACTCTTCAACCTTCAGGATTCTGTACAATTCCTCTCTTGGATGAAGTGTTCCCTGACAGACCTAGACAGACTTAGCCACCCTTTGTCTTCTGTTCCATCCCTGCATTTGGTATTATAAATATACATGGGCCTGTCATCCTCATTTTGACTTTGATCTCTCAACTACAGATACCGTTCCTTAGTCCTTTTTTTATTTTCAACATATACTATATTACCTAGGAGGTTCTAGATATATTAATAACACATAACATAAACTATGTTAGGTTGAAATTATTAGGACTGCTTTACTTACATAAGCTCATTTAAATGCATAAAAATGCCTTATTTTTAAAGGCTTGCTTTTAGCATTATGATTACTAAGTAAAAGTTACAGAAGTGTATTGGGGCCTCAATAAAAACAACTTTCTAATAATTTGAGATATTCACAAATGCAATAAACTGATTGTGAGTAGTGATCATTCCACCAATAATGTGTGTTTATGGGTGAATGAAAGGAAGTTTAAAGAAGATATTGGTTTTTGTTTTGTTTTGTTTTTGTTTTTTGTTTTTTGAGACACAGTCTCACTCTGTTGTCCAGGCTGGAGTGCAATGGTGTGATCTTGATTCATTGCAACCTCTGCCTCCCAGGTTCAAACAATTCTTCTGCCTCAGCCTCCTAAGTAGCTCGGATTACAGGTGCATGCCACCATGCCCAGCTAATTTTTGTATTTTTAGTAGAGATAGGGTTTTACCGTGTTGGCCAGGCTGGTCTCAAACTTCTGACCTCAGGTGATCCACCTGCCTTGGCCTCCCAAAGTGTTGGGATCCCAGGCGTGAGCCACTATGCCCAGCCAATATTGTTTTGTTTTGTTTTTGTTTTTGTTTTTAATCTACAGAATACCTTAAAAATAGCAAGTATGTGATTTTGTGTAGGAGTGGTATCCAGAAACTATTTTCAATATTCTAGACAGTAAAGGAAAAAAAAAATGCCCACAGCAAAGCTTCACAGCTTTCAGAAACTTCAAAATGTTTTGCTTTGGGACGAACTAATCAATTCAATGTGGGGACATGTTATCATGTGGACACAAAGCTCCAGTTGGCGTTTAGCTCACCTATGCATCATTACCACTGACTTTTGTAAAAGTTGAAAAACCAATGACTTTTCCTTAATTTGTTTGGAAAGGAGGATTTCTAAACATGGAGCTCATGCAAAAAGCATACTAAAAGAATTTTTGATCTTGAGAACTGGATTAATTTTTTTCTATACTTTATTTCATGGCTTCTTATTTTCCCAGCATTGTTATAAGATAATAATGCATGTTACAAGGGGTTGTGTGTTATATGTATTTAATTGTACTCTTTAAAAAATATTTTTCAGTGATACATAAAATAAAGGTGCAGCTTATAATCCATAGTGTTTAAATAGTCAAAAAAATACAAGTTGAGTAATGGTGGCTGAGAGAGTTTATATGGTTCTGGTGTCAGGACTGCCTCAGTTCAGATTCTGTATTACCTAGTGTAGCTCCTTAATTTCTGAGTATCAGTTTTCTCATCTGTAAAATGGGGTTTGGCATAATAACTACCTTATAGATTGCTTAAGCATTTCCTCTCATTATATCAGTCTCAACTTGTCATAGCCAGCAAGAGTTTATGCTTCTCCCATTGCCAAAATTACCAGTTTTTTAAAAAAGTACTGAAAATCTTGGAAGATCTGTCGTTATTTTATTTTATTATGCAAATAATTTTGACCTCCAGAGATTATTTTGCTTCAGAAGCCTTATTTCTTCTGTACTGCTAACCAAACAGTTTACTCCATTTGTGCAACAATTTATAATGAACCATAAAAGAACTGATTATCTTAGGGTTTTTGGCTCAATTACCTGTTTCAAATGCTCAATGACTAAGAAAAGCATGTCATTTTCTCTTCTCTTGCACACTGGAGTATAACAATAGGCTGTGAATAGAGCAAATAAAAGAGACACAAATACCAGTATAAGGGGCCTATTGTGTTTAGTTTGTTGCCCTGTCATATGGTTTTAATTTAGGTTGGCTGATTGATTATGACAGACTAACAGATAGCCCATTGTTCCTCTCTTGGAATCTCTAGACACTTTAATATTCCTATTCTTATCTGTCCATTTTGATTCCTAAACTTAAATGAAATGGAATTACAGCATTCACTTTGTTTTCCTGTGCTAAGTGATTATCTCTGAAGTGCAATTTTGTGATTAGGCGAGGTGGCATGCATACACTCAACTAATGCTGATTTCCCCCAGGGTGCAGAACAGGTAAATTCATAATGAATGGATGTTGTGCTTTGATTTCAAATGGATGTAAAAACCTCACCACACTTCATAGTTTTATTTTAAAAATGTATTTAATTATTCTAAAATTAACAGGAGAATATTAAAATTGAACTTTAGAAATATGGCATTTAAACATAAGTCAAGGGTGCTAACTGCTTATGAATGTTAATCCTCTTCAAAAAATGAAAGAAAAAAAAAAAACAAATTTACCTAGCATAAATTGGAGGAGTGTCACTGAAAATCTTTAGTTTAATTATTTATATTCCTTCTGATTAATTCCAAAAATGTCTGAATCCAGCTTGGTATTTGTATTGTCAAATTCTAATGTGGCTTATTTTGAATACTAAAGTAATTATTCAACTAATCGTTGTGATAGTATTGTCATAGTTGTTTGGTCTGGAGGGGTGATTTTGGGGCTGAGGGGAGAAGCTAGAAGTTAAGAATTGACATAAAGTTTTCTCTTTAATTATTTTCTTTGATATTTTAAAAATAAATTTTCTACATGAGTATGAGAGACCAATTTTAAAAAGAATTTATTCTTCTCCCAATTGGACACATTTTGACCAAACCACCAAAGTAGGTGATTGGCACCCAAACCACACTTTTTTTCTGATCTACTTGGATTAAGCATTGACAATTATATTGTGGATCTTGAAGTGGGAAATGTGATATGCAATTTCTTAAACTTATTTGAATTGAGGAGGAAAGGAAAGGAAGGCAGAAGACAAGGAATATATTGAAGGCCTCAGTTTTCCCCAAAATTCTCGTAAAATAAAATCTTACAAAGTTAAGTTCATATGGTTCTGTTCTTACATTAATGGAAGTTTAAATTTTAAGGGACTGGAGAAGTCATCATCAGACAGACTGTCTCTTTTTAGGTATGAGAAACTGAGACTCGTGCTTATTGAGATGTCACTCCGGTAAAGGTCAGGCTTCCCCCAGGTCTTCTGCCTGCCAGGTGCTGTACTGTGCTATATTGTGCAGCCGCAACCTCAGGCTTACTGTGTGCACATAGGTCTGGAAAGATCCACCACTTTCCATTAGGACACTAAGAAAAAAGCTCATCTTTCCGCTGTCGATACCTTTCTATTTCTTGATTTCAGCAACAACAAAACAGCACAAACCACTTTTATAATACAATAAAAATATCATATGGAAAGATGTAATAAAAATGGATTTTAATATCCTGTATGAGTACCATACAGAATAAGCAACAGTAAGCAACACCAAAAAGTTCCCTACAACATGAATATGGTTGATTAAGGTGTATTTCTCAGAATGGACTGCAGTTCACCAGCGTATGTATTAAATCCCTCTCTTTGGCATGTTGGTGAAGTGGCTGCTTGGTTGTTGCTCAGTCATGATTTAAATGCTTAGTTATTATACATTGCCCAAGAGTTCAGACAGCTCTATCCCTATATAAGGAAGCCACTCATATTTTATATCTATCTTTCAACTGGACCCTGTAATGTACTTCTTCATTGTCAAACTCAAGGATACTATTTTTCGGATCTATCTGAATTCATCAACTTTCTTCTTTTCATTAATATTTTTGAATACCTTTCTCACTCATTTAAGTAAGAGAAAAAGTAAAATATTTTTTAAGTATCATCAGGTGTTTGTAAATCAGGTGTACTTATACTTTCATTCATGCTTTCTGCTATTTTTTTGGCTGTTTTTAAAGTGGTCTGAAACTTGGTCAAGCAGGAAGAGGAGAAGAGAGATGGTTGCTGTGCCACCAACTGTAAAACTATGGCTGGGAATAATGTCTAATGGCTGAAAGTGCAAGCTGTGTTGCATCTTATCTTCCCTAACTTTGCCTAGGGAGTTATATCCGTACTGGCATATTTATTATCTTGCATACTTTTTATTTACAGATCAGAGTGCCTATTCAACTTACTTTTCAACATCACTATTTTTACAGCTTCCGCCACCTTTGAAGACTTTCAGATTCGTCCCCACGCTCTCTTTGTTCATTCATACAGAGCTCCAGCTTTCTGTGATCACTGTGGAGAAATGCTGTGGGGGCTGGTACGTCAAGGTCTTAAATGTGAAGGTAAGTTATTTTCTTCCCATGCAAGTTAAATGTGTGCTGTTCTCCTGTGTTTATCGCAGCAGAATTCACAATTGCAAAGATACGTAAAAGCTAAGTGCCCATCAACCAATGAGTGGATAAAGAAAATGTGGTACATATATACATATATATACGCACATATATATGTGTGTATATATACATTTTCTTCATCCACTCGTTTGGTTGAGAAAATATAGGTTTTTTTGTGTGTATACATACATAGATCTATCTATATATACACCTATTACATAAGTCTATGTATATATACACCTATGTACATAGATCTATGTATGTATACACATATATACATATACACACATATATACAAACATGTATATACATTGGTGTGTGTGCGTGTATACACTCCACATTCTCTTTATCCACTCATTGGTTGATGGGCACTTAGGTTGATTCCATACCTTTGCAATTGTGAATACAATTCACAATATGCATTATATATATACACCATGAAATACTACTCAGCCATGAAAAAGAACAAAATAATGTCTTTTGCAGCAACTTGGATAGAACTGGAGGCCATTATCCTAACTGAAGTAACTCAGGAACAAAAGCCAAATACCACATGTTCTCATTTATAAGTGGAAGCTAATCTGTGGGTACACAGGGGCACACACAGTGGTGTAATAGACATTGGAAAATCAGAAGCAGGAGGTTCAGAGGTGGCTGAGGGATGAAAAACTACCTATTGTGTACAATGAACATAAACCATTTGGGTGACAGCTACACTAAAAGCCCAGACTTTACCACTATATAATTCATTCATGTACTGAAAACCACATGTACACCTAAAGCTAATGAAATAGTAAAAAATAAAAAATAATGCATGATGGAGCTATCTGCTTATGTTGTGCCCTCTACAATAGTGTAGCAGTATCTCCCCGAAGTATCTTCCAGGCATTTAGGGGGTACATGGATTCTCTTCTGTTCATTTCTTTAAGTTTCCTGTCTTGAACAAAGTTGGTCTGACCTGGGAACCCTTATTCTCACATCTTTTCTCCCTTATCATGTGGACATGTTTCACCCCTATATGGTGCTCAATATTTTATCAGCCGACTAAAAATAAAATTTGCCTAGTAAATAAGTCAGAAATTGGAATAGTAGACATTGAATACACATTTGTTGAAATGAGCAGAGATTCAGGAAATTAAACCGTCTAAGTTCACTCAGCTGTTGAGTCGCGAGCTGGAACATGTATCTGCATTTCTGCACCAACAACATAATTTTATCATAATGTGGAAAGAACACTTTGAACTGCACAATTCAAGGTGCTAGGACACCATGATATAATCTTTAAAACTGGCGCAATTGTACTCTATTCTCTTTGGATTGGGAGGGCAGGGTTAGAGTTCTTTGAACTTTGACAAATATAACTGAGCATTTATTATGCAACCTACAAATAAACTATCCACAATTTTTGAATTTCTGTCTGTGAAGAGGGAAGCTAGCAGACAATAATCTGGAAGAAACTCTGCCTAAAATCTGGTTTTATGAAAATTTGTCTGTCCGGACTGCTGTGTGACACATGGAGAGATTCTAAGTAATGGCCTCCAGCTACGTGGGGAATATGAATATTAAAAATATTGAAAAGAAACTGACACTTGCCTAGGTGGGAAATCTGTTTCCAATTATTGATCACCTACCATGTGGAAACCAGCATGTGAGGTACTTTATATATCTTCTTAGTAATTCTACAAGGTAGTTATTACCTCCATTTTAGAGACGAGAAAACTGAGGTGAAACTTTGTTCCAGGCCATGTAGACAAGCAAGTTATGAGGCCCAGATTCAAATTAGTGTTGTCTAAAACTTGTGATGTGCTGTGATTAATATTCCTTTATGTGTCCACTCACATTTGAACTTACGGCAGCTAAAAGTGGCTCAGATTATCTAATTTGAGTTAATTTCTATATCCCTTCAAGCCTAAGACTGTTATATCACAGAACATTTTTAAAAATGATACCTAGCATAGTTCCTGAGCTTGTGCAATAAGATCAGAATTCAAAACCCATTAACAAATTGGAAAAAAAATTCAGAGAATGTTCAAAAGAAAATGTGAATTTCCAAATACTCTCAAGGAAAATGGAAGCTGTACTATTTTTTAAATTTCTACTTTACACTAATATTGGAATCACTTTTTAATTTATGGTTCAATAAAAATAATTTTTATTTTCCCTTTCCAGGGTGTGGTCTGAATTACCATAAGAGATGTGCATTTAAAATACCCAACAATTGCAGCGGTGTGAGGCGGAGAAGGCTCTCAAACGTTTCCCTCACTGGGGTCAGCACCATCCGCACATCATCTGCTGAACTCTCTACAAGTGCCCCTGATGAGCCCCTTCTGGTATGGCTTCCTGTTTACCCACTTCCCCATTTACATGAGAAATCTGTGGGGTGATGTGATAGCAATGTCAATCCAAGACAGGGCGCTAGGAGGGAGAATGCAGCCAGGGTGTTAATGACAGTGTTTCTTCAGGGCTTGTGCTGTAGATTGGTCAGTGTCTCATCAAATATCCAACAGTTTTGAGTTTGCTTTTATCTCTGAGCTTAGTGAAATGATAAAATATGTGAGGTTTTATCGTGGTCACAGGGCCAGAGCAGCACGAACTAATGTGTTAATGTTGCAAAACATCGCTTGTCAAAATTTGGAAACCAGAGAGATACAAAATGTTCTCTGAAGATTATTAGAGGAATTTGTGGCATGGCTGAATATTTATTTTGGGAGGAAACTTGAAATTTGCTCTTGTGAAACCATGAAAGTCTTTATTGCTTGGCATACTGGCATACATGCCAGCTTATTGTCAAAAACTGATTGATAAGTCCTGTGAGAAAAATAGGACTTAACACTTTAAATATTTCCATTAGCTCTAGAATATATATATATATATATATATGGAAGAATATTAACTATATCCATAAGATATATATTTTTATATATTATATATATTATATAGTATATATTTTATATATATTATATATAAAATATGCAAATAAATATATATATATCTTATGGATATGGTTAATATTCTTCCTTAAGAAAGTTAAATTTGGATTTTCCAAACATTCGAAACAAAATAAAAATTGTGGTAATTATGTGAATTATTTAAAATAAAAACACATTCTGAAATACGCTAATAGTTTGAGGATTTAAATTTCCCATATTTACCCCCTCTATCTCCCGATGGATATTACAATGATGCTTTATAATCCTGTTACTGTAAAAATCAATTAGAGAGAAAAAAATTTTGAAAATACTTAAACATTTAGGTTGAATAGATCCCTCTTGGAGTGGAGAGTGGTAACAAATTCTGAAGACATCTATAAGAAGTTGTATAAATTACTTGTTTGGAAAATATTTTATTGTGATCACGATCTTTATATCACCAAAATTTTTTTACAGTGTAAACCAGGAGTATAAATGAAATGAATTATTTTAATAATTAGGAAAATCCCATACTCTTTTATAAGGCTCTCTTTTAGGGGTTTCTTGTGTTTTCAGTACATCACTAAGTGAACCTAGTTGGAGAAGGCAGGTACTAAATTTCACCAATAACTAGAAGAACATATTATAACTTCATACCTATTCAGAATATGTATGCATGATCATATATTATTCCATGAAGTTCTATTAATTGAAATTATGATATTCTTACTGATAAGTGCTTAAGTCAAAGTCTGTGTTTTAAAATAATCCTATGTCATCTTCTCAGCTCAGAAGTTCTTTGAGTTTGAATTTTTGCAATTAGTGATTTTACAAGTTACAGCAATTACTCTTGCTTTTAAGCATAGCTGCTGAGAGTCATGATGTTTATAAGATAGACATTTAAAAATAAGTTTAAGAAACAACATTGTAAATTATGCATATATGTATATAAATGTATGGTTTCTATATAAATCTAATTTAGCTTATGTAAGTATAATTTAACACGGATTTTTGTGTTTTTAAACCAACTTAAAGCAATAAAAGCTTAAAAGCAATAAAAGCAATAAAACCAAATTAAAGCAATAAAATAATGCTTTATGTAACCAAATTAAATAACCACTAAATTATTTGAATTATTTGATACGTTACATAAAATGTTGAAATTAAATGGTGAATTAAAATTTTTTTGTAAAATGCTTAAAATCTATTTTATAAGTACACATTTTTAAAATTAGACTTTGTCAAGAATGCTTGTAAAATTATGATCAAATCAGATATTTATTAAGTGAGAAAATATTGGAGCCACAAGATACTTTTTAAAGCTACTGGGATGGGAGTCATAAGCTTTCGTAACCTTGTGTAAAATGCCTTCAGGTAAACTTTAAATGAGAAATGCATTTGGAAGTAATGTTTGTGACACTATTTGACACACTGGTTCTCAGAATCATGTTTTAAACACAGCAAAGCCCTTTGTGTCCTTATGGGGTGCCTACTTGTCTTTGTTTTTACCCAATCCCTGAGAAAGTAGGAAACATTGGCCCACCTTGAGGAGGACACATATTTCCCTGTTGCCTTTGTTCCCTTTCATGTCTTCGCTTCTTCATACGGGAACAAAAGCACCCTGCTCGACCAAGGCACACGGGGAGTACCATGCCTATATCCCTTTTCAACCCAGTAACACCAATAACTATAGTTTAAAAGTTATAGTGGGTGCCTAATAAGAGGTGATATTATAGCAATAATAGTAAAACCTTTGGGTTCTATATACATTAAAGAATAATTTCCATTTCCAAAAAGAATGATGGCCTGACCCTTGTAAAGACAGCATTGCTCATTAAGGCCACTAGACCATTTATTTTGCAAGTCTGCCATGGTAAGTATATTTTCTCTCAAATATGAGAAAGTTATATTTTCCATAAATGATTGCCTATTTTGACTATAAAGTTTCTTTTTCAGATACAGATTACGACATTGGTAATTCTGTTTGTTTATCCATTTGGGCACAGAAATTCAATCTCAGATTTCTCTAATGTTAAGATAGAAAAAATATTATAATAGCATAGATCACATGACAAACTTCAACTGTCATCAACTTTGGCAGTAAACTATCCATTATGCTATCCATAAAACAGTCCATCTTTAAAAAATTCCAAGATGTGGTCAATTTATAACAGTTCTGTGGGCATGGATTTTTTTTTTTGTAAACTATCATCAGTATTAGAAGGAAACAAGAAAAACTCAGCAGATTCTTAAGTGGAACACATTAATACACTGTATCATTATCTATAAGTATATTTATCAAATTATATCAGTTTTATGGACTTTTGGGCAACTGTAGAAGAAGTTAGTATTAAATGAGTCTATTATTTCTGTATGCTTTACTCATCTTTTTATTTTATTTACATGTGTTCTTGTGGTATTTGGGAAAAGTCAAAGCCAATTGAACCCACACCAGGCAAGGGTTAGTCTTAGGCAAAAAGTTATTATAATATAATAATCTGTTGTAGAACGTCTGTTCCTAGGTGTAAAGGAAAACTTTAATCAGATAAACTCTCCCATGAGGGACAATGATAAAAGCCGAATAAAATATAACATAACAAAACACTATTTGAAGGCACCCAAGAGCAACCAAGGCAATTGGATTTGAGTGACCAATCACAGAGAGGTCAGTACACAGGGCAGCCTCCTACAATGAAGAAGTATCCAACCCAAAATGTCAATAGTGCTGAGGTTGAGCACCCCTGATGTAGAACAAACCAGAGACTTGCCAAACATATTATAAAGGCGCAGTAAAGGCAAGGTAGTATTATACAAAGTTAAGTATAAAGTATTAAGGCAATGTGCTGTTACACAAAGACAGAAAAATTAACCGATGAAATAGAGTCCGGAAACTATGTGCATACACAGACCAGCTGATTTATGACAAGGGAAAAACTGCTGTGAGAAAAGAATGGTCTTTTCAGCAAACATCTCTGTGACCAATTGGATATCTATATGGCAAAGAAGAATCTTGACCCTGTCTTATGCCATACACGAAATCAATTGTAGGTAGATTGGAAGCTTCTAGGAGGTAACACAGAAAGTATATCTACAAGAACTTCGAGTAGGAAAAGCTTTTTTAAACAGGATTTAAATCACTGATGACAAAGGAAAAAGATTGATAAATTGGGCATCATTAAAACTAAGAAATTATTTTAATCAAAATATGTCATTAAGAGAATAGAAAAGTGAGTGGGAGAAGACATTTTCAATACAATATATCATATAAAAACTCATATTCAGAGCACATAAGGAACATTTACAAAAAAGTTAGAAGACAGACAACGTTATTTAAAATATAGCTATATACTTAACCAGCACATTACAAGATAGACAATAAACATGAAAATGTGCTTAACATCATTAGTTATCAAGGACTGTAAAGTTAAGTCTGTAATGACCTATGTCTACATCAGAATGTCTGTCATTGAAAGAACACCTGTTAATAACAAGTACTGGGGAAGATACTGAGCAACTAAACTTACATACACTACTACTGGGATTGTATATTGGCCCAAACGACTTTGGAAAACTTGTTGGCAGTTATCTCGTAAAGCTAAACACATGCATATGGTGTGACACATCAGTTCTACTTCCAGGTATATATACAATAGGAATATACAGAGTCATGCCCAGAAGGATATGTTAAAAGATGTTTTTGACATCTTTATGCATAATAGCTAAAAATTAGAAACCAGTAGTGGTGTAGTCATACAATGGATTGTATGAATGATACAGCCATGGAATTAATTAACTATTGATTCACTCTGCAACATTGTTGAATCTCACAAAATGATATTTAAAGAAATAAGTCAGACAAAGGGTACATACTTATGAATCCAGTATATGAAGTTCAAATCAAGCAAAACCAATTTATGGCAAGATACTTAAAAATAAAACTAAGGTGGGATATCAACTGGGAAGGAGCAGAAGTGAGCTTTCTAGGATGCTGGCAATATTATATATCTTGATCTGGGTAGAGGTTACATGGGTTTATGCACATGCAAAACTTCATCAAGCTATACACCTAGAATGGTGTTTACTTTATTCCATATGAATTGTACCTCAGTAAAAGTGTTTTAAAATGATAATAGCAATGGATCTCCAAATAGCAAGTTATAAAGCCATTGAGATTCTTCAACACAGGTCATGTGAGAAAAGAATGAAATGTTATGTCATAATAATTAATACATTATGTTATGAGATTCCTATCAGTCAATTAAAAGAAAATGGAGCTATAAAATTTACATTGGAAATAAATTCTTTGGGTGCTAAATTAAAAGTAATATGCCACATCATTCTGGGATACTAGTATTCATTTGCATAATAAACATTGTCACCTGCAGTAGTTTCATCACAGATACAAAACTGTAATTATATGATCTTCCTTTAAGGGAAAAACCAAACAAAAACAAAACTGTGGTATAATTTACAACCAACTACCAATGAAACAGGTCGCTCTCTTTTCCTTGGTGATTTATAGACATTTCTGGTGATTCTAACTTGATAACAGGATGAAAAGATAGAGCTGTCTCTGTGTTTCTTAAAGTTTTTCTTAAAAATAATGGCCCCATAAAATATTCTGAAAAAAAAAAATTGGTCAAATAAGATTAGGAAATGCTTCTTGGTTCATCCAAATTTTGGACATCCTAGGAGTCATTATGCATAATTAAGGGCCTAAGTAAGAAGTCTGACAGTGGTAAAATTAGTGTTCTTAAATCCACTCTAACATGGAACCCTTTTCTCATAAAACGCATTAATATTGTGTGGGAAGTACATGCACTTTGGGAAACAATAACTTAGAGGAATGAGTAAATGAATGCACGTTGCATAGACCATCTTCAAATATGAGCTGAACAGCATGCAGCTGAAGTTGAATTGTGACGACGGCCCAGAAAAAAGAGATTCAGGGCTACTAACTGGAGGAAAAATATACACTTTGGGTATCAGATATATAGATAGCAAGGATAATACTTTACTTTGGAAATTGAGAAATTGATTTCCTCTCCCAAAGAGCTAACTTTGCCATTTCTGCATGCAAATGTGCCCTAAGAGTACCTGCAAACAAAGTTGTAATTTTTCCCTGAAACTCATGTTTGGTTCTTTTCAAATGAGTGGTTGTTGCCCTTGAGCTCTGCACATGCTTTATGTCAATCCAGAAATGTGGCAGGTTTTTTCTTTTTTTTGTTTGTTTGTTTTGTTTTGTTTTGTTTTGAGATGGAATCTTGCTCTGTCACACAGGCTGGAGTGCAGTGGCGCGATCTTGGCTCACTGCAAGCTCCGCCTTCCGGGTTCACGCCGTTCTCCTGCCTCAGCCTCCGGAGTAGCTGGGACTACTGGCGCCCGCCACCACGCCCGGCTAATTTTTTGTATTTTTTAATAGAGACGGGGTTTCACCGTGTTAGCCAGGATGGTCTCAATCTCCTGACCTCTTGATCCCCCTGCCTCGGCCTCCCAAAGTGCTGGCATTACAGCCGTGAGCCACTGCGCCCGGCCTGTAGCAGGTAATACTGGATAACCAATCAGTCTTGGTAGAACCTCAGTCCAAATGCTCATGACTTTCCAAAGTTTCTGACAAGATGGGTTAGCTGCAGATTGCAAATGAGGACTGAGGATTCAAAACAAACAGATAGTAGGATTTTTCTCAATGTGAGGTCTTTTATTCAACACTGCAAAAAAATCACATTTCAAAGCTCAGTCATGCATTTTTGTTAAGAAAAAGAGTGAACTATATTGTAGTTTTGATTTGGTTTCTAGTTATCAGATAGAGCTGCCCCCCAAAAGCTTGAGAGAACAGAGATGAAAAAGAACATATTCAATATAAATTACCAGTTAAGTGTTATCTACTTAATTAAGCTCTGTCATATTTTTCATTGATACTACCTCTTGTCTTTTAAAAAATCATTAAGAGTAACCTTACTGCTTTTGAATTATATTTCAACCTTGAACGGAATCAGATAGAAAATAATAATATGCAACAAAGATTCTAAAATGAGCAAAGAATACATTGTAGGCATGTTTTTCTCCTTAAAACTCTAACCCGCTATTGGACTTTCTAGGTTTGGAAACCACTGACTGCTACTGATTATTCATTAGCTTATTCTTGCTTGCAAGCAGATAACAACTTTGTATCATTTGATTACTTTGATGACCTTTTTCTTTCTTTTCCCATTGAGAATATGAATTATTGTGAAGAAAATCTAATCTTTCACTTAAAGGTCAAAAACGCTTCATTTTGACTATAATTTATTTTCAATGAGGTGAAAGAACCATCGTTCATCACTGAGACCATGACAAGTAGAGCTGTTTTTTTTAACATCTAGCGACTCACAATTATTTTTGCAATTTTTACTTAGTGTCTATAGTTCCATTTAAATATTAAATGTAGTTTGCAACTCAGATATCTCTGTAGTTATAAAGACTGTTTAGTATAACATTTTGCTTTTTTTTGAAAGCATGCCTATATGAAACATTATTGAGTAATGTGCTTTGCTTCCATCCAATAACGTTGTTTTCCTGTCTTTTTCTCCTTTGATTCTGCACCTTTGCCTGCTTTTTGCTCTTACAACTTCATGTTTCAGTCTCCTGTGAGTCCTGGCTTTGAGGTAGGTACTAATGCTACCTGGTGCTAGAAATTTGCTTCACTGTCTTTTTCAAACCAGCATATTACGCTGACATCAGACAATTGTCTGTACTGACTTTATGAGAATAATCAGGTCAGAGTTTAGCTCAAAATTCAACACATTGACCCACAGAAAGCCCTCAGGTTTTCCTTGCTTTTGTCCTGTTATGTTTAACTTTTCACAGTCCCAATAAGCCAAAAAGCAATGAAGTCATTAGAGTAATAGAATTAGGTTTTTCAGGTCAGATTTTGCCCTGTGATTGCTTGATTTCATAACATTGGTGTTTTGTTTTGTTTTTTAATGAAACTGAGCAGACATATTGAGAATGAAGAATACATCAGCCCTCACTTATGTGATGCTATGTTAAATGAATCTTATGCACATTGGAACTATGTCCTGATCCCAGGTACCACAGAGGCATGCAAAGTGAGGACACCATCCCAGTATACTGCCTAAAGATGGCTGTAACTGCTTGTTTACAGTTCCTGAACTTACCTTTTCTTTTTTTTTCTTTTTTTAATATATATATATATTTTTTATTATACTTTAAGTTCTAGGGTACGTGTGTCATGTTAGGGTGCTGCACCCATGAACTTACCTTTTCAATAAAGGATCTTTCCATCCTTTTGTGTTATCACAATCTATTAATTATTTTTTAAAAATGGTATACAAATGGAAATGTCAGTCTCTCAATCCAGACAGAAATTATATATGGAAAAAACACAAATTTCCTTTAAAAAAGGTTTTAGTTAAGCCCTCCTCCAAAATTGGCCTTTTTTCTATTTTAAGCAATGAATGATGTGAACGTGGAGGAGAAGTATTTAGGTCAAGTATTAGAGCATCCAACAATGCTCTTCTTGTGATGGTTTGTTTTGGTCAGTTGACTTGTGAATGTTTACTGTCTTTTATTTCTATACCTTGGTCAATTGAGAGTTGACATACTGTTATTTTCCCTCATGGGACTATAAATTTCAAATATTATTATTAGTATCCATTCTAAGATGGTCTTGTTACGGTAACTCTAACAAAGGAAGCTAATGAAAACACAACCAGAACATGTTCTGGGTTAATTAAGATGGATGAGTCAAGATTTCTGATTCATAAGCTACAGGATGAAGACATCTGCTTCAATAATAGTAAATTCCTATTTTTGAAAAATCATTCTTACTCAAAAAGTGTCCTACTTAGAATAAGTCCAGTGTGAAAGCTAGGTGAGTGTAATTTTTTATAGTCTTGTAAATTTGGTTTGTAATTTAAAATGCCTTCTAGACATAATTTTAAATGTGAATTAGTATCTTTCCTTTCAAATAATCCTTTGGGCATGAAGCCAAAGAAGGACAGGAAACATTTTTCACTTCCTTCTCCCACATTGCAGTCGGGAACAGATTGCATAAAGGAGGACTGAAGAGTAGTCTGATTTTCTGTGCAAGTTGTACAAATTAAAAGCAACCAGGCCTTCACAGGCTAGCTCCTGATGGAAATAAGATGTGTTTTCGGCATGAGCTGTTTTTCTTGAACTTTGTTTACGTCTAGTTTGTCAAAAAGATAACAGACTTTTCTCTTTATAAATGTCTTGGAAGAAACTGATGCATGAAATTCGACCAGAATTTCTTCAGAGAAATGTTTTAGTGACAGTTGTGCAAGTAGCAGAATGGTTATAGAAACCTGGCCATTGCTCCATGTTCAGCATGTCCTGGTCAGTTTACACTTTTATGTCTGTAACCCTGAGGTGCACAAGTATGCAAAAATAGATAAATTATCCGCCTTCATGGAGCTTGCATAGGTAAACCATATACCGACAAGTAGATATAGTATATGTCTTTGTATAAGCTTCCTGGTATTATATTACAATGAAATATATTGATTTATGTAACCAATCTGTCCTCCTGTTTCCATTTTAAATTTGAAATAATGCAAAAAATAAGCATCTCTATTTTTTGCGTATTTGTAAAAGCACTAGTAAATTCTGAATAAATATTTATTTGGCCAAGCACAGTGGCTCACACCTATAATCCTAGCATTTTAGGAGGCCGAGACAGGCAGATCACTTGAGGCCAGAAGTTCGAGACCAGCCTGGTCAACATGGTGAAACCCTGCCTCTACTAAAAACATAGAAAAATTAGCCAGGCATGGTGGCACGCACCTGTAATCCCAGCTACTCAGGAAGCTGAGGCATGAGAATTGCTTGAACCCGAGAGGCAGAGGTTGCATTGGGCCAAGATCATGCCACTGCACTCCAGCCTGGGTGATAGAATGAGACTCTGTCTCAAAAAATAATAATAAATAAAGTAAAAATAAAAATTATTTACTGAATGAGTTAGTAGATAACATTATTAGAATCCAAATAGGTTATACTGCTTTTTTAAAAAAAAAAATAGTTATTCAAAAGTGTAAAAGTTTACATTTTTAACTCTACTGAAAATAGTGTATGAGAGTTTCCATTTCCTTATACTCTTCCCAACAACAGGTGTTGTCAATATTTTAAAAGGCTTTTCCTCCCTGCTAATTTGAAATATATCTATATAAAATCTGTGCCTAACTATATATTTCTTTGTTGGAGAGAATAAAGGCTTTTCATATATTAATTGGCCATTTGTATTTCAGCCATGGTGAATTGCCTTTCTCTTTTTCCATTGAGTTGCTTATTGGTTGCTTATAGTCTTTATGTATTATGACTGTTATCCTCTATTAATCTGTGATCTGTATGTTTTTTATGTCTTTTCCCATATTGATTTTTTTCACATGGAGAAGACATATTTTCATTCATTCTCTTACTGTATAGAGACTTAACCATATAGAGACATGTTGAAAATAAATCAACATGGCCAGATTAAAGATAATATTTTTGTCAAGCAGTTGAGGAGAATGACCTTTTCTTGAGGTAAAAGAACTGAAGTCAAGGTGGAAAATGAAGCAGAATTTAAGATATTGGATGACCTGTGTGACCATAGGATATAATTGATGACACAGCATTTTTTACATTATGGATTTTTTTTAAAAAATTAAATAACTTTACTAAAGTTATCTTAAATGTTTTTAAGTGACTTTAAGGAGGTATCTACTAATTTAGCTTTGAAGTTAAGAGGCTCTACAGAGAACTTATTTTTTCTTGGAATTAAATGCTTCTAGCCTAATCTTTTTGGTTATTCTTAACATTCAGGCCACCTTACAGAAATCATTAGGAAATAAATCGCTCATTCTAAAAGCTTTCTCTGCATTTGACCATTTTATATCCTTTAATTTTATGCAATCCGGACAATATTCAGTTTAACTTTTTATGTGAGGTTGCATATTTTCTAAATAACAATTGGCCATAAACTGCTATTATTTTCATACAGGTTTACTGACTCACATGTAATGAAGACACGGATTGTACTAAAATGAGCTCTAGGCTGCATACGTTCATAGAACATCTCCCCTCAGAAATGATTCATTTAGTTACTGTTTTCATTTATTTAAAAAATGAAAACGAGAATACCAGCATTGTATTTTCTATCTATAATTAGATATGATCCTGATACATTTTATAATAGTCAAAGTAGTTTCTTTTCAAATAAGCAAATAATGGACAAAAAGCTATTTCTTAACTATGATGATACTTACTGCCCAGATGAACATTTGCCAGGATATTTTTCAATGCAGCAAAAGTCTATTTAGAAGTAGAGACTTAACTCTTGTGTTCTGGAATTCCAGGAATCCTGGTGATTTCTCTGAAATAAAAAGTCATTTTTCCATTTAAATATGCACCATGACACTCATGTAGTACATTTGCCAGAAATTGCAGGTTTTCCTTTGATGATTCTACAAACTAGTTTTTCAAATTCAAACCTGGGCAGTGTGTACTTTCAGTGAGGAAAGATGTCCAAAAATTTTTTAACCAGAACTTCCCTGCTTCCTGAGACTATGTGCAGTAGTGAGTTTCTGGGGAAAGTGTCCTTCAGTAAAATTAATAAGATTGTGAGGCCTGCTTTGAGTTACTGTTATCTGATTTCATTCCACAAGTCTGGCTTATCATATATGTCCATTCTTAATTCATGCTCTGAACAAAACCTTGCAGATATGTGATTGTAAATGTGAATACTACTGGAGAGTTCTTCATGAACCCTGCTGGGAGGGGGTGGCATCATATACCAATTGCCTCACACTTACTAATATATAGGTCTTAAAAACAATCGGATTTTTAGTAACAGCTCTGAAAATCCCGTGCAACTCTCAGGCAAGGTACCGTGACCTCCACAGCACTCCTGACAAGACACAAAACAGAGCCTTCCACTGTTAGGAATTGCAGGCATTTACTTGTGGGCATCTGCGTCCATCTAATATTCTAGGCTGGGATAGATTTAAGTTTCTGCTCCCTTAATTACCGACTGCTCATAACTTCTGAACTGCTACCTGAGAAATATGAAAAAAAGGGCCAGGCACGGTGGTTCACGCCTATAATCCCAACACTTTGGGAGGCCAAGGCGGGTGGATCACCTGAGGTCAGGAGTTCGAGACCAGCCTGGCCAACGTGGTGAAACCCCATCTCTACTAAAAACACAAAAAATTAGCTGGGCATGGTGGTGCATGCCTGTAATCCCAGCTAGTTGGAAGGCTGAGGTAGGAGTATCACTTGAACCTGGGAGGTGGAGGTTGCAGTGAGCAGAGATCACAGCCATTGCACTCTAGACTGCACAACAAGAACAAAACTCGGTCTCAAAAATAAATACATAAATAATAAATAAAAAATATGAAAAAAAGGTTACTTATGTTCACTTCAACAGTTTATATGTCCTCATGAATGTGGCTACCCAGGAAAAAAAAAAAAGAAAGATTTCTATAGAAGAAATAATAATGAGAAGGAGAGAGGAGAGTAGAAGATTGGAATTGGTACTATAAATTAGACTTCTAGAAACTAGAGAAAATTCAGCCTCTAAAATATTTGTGTCTTTTCAAATATTTAGATACATTATTTTACTGAACCCCTTAGACATGGTATTCTGATACTTGATTTAATCTAATCAGATGAATTCCTTCTTGCCTTCTCAAAAAGAGTGATGATGTTGCCATTTTAATAATAAATATAGTGAAATGTAAGATGAGACAATGTCAGGGAGTTATGAACAAATATGCCTCTTTCTCTAAATAGCCCAGTTTTTAGTGGTATCTATTTTTGTGTAGCCATGCACTGAAAATATCACTTGAGTGATATAATTTCATTGAGTGAGTGCTTTTCTGTATTTTTAAAACCCAAAGCTCTTTTAGGGGTGTGGGATAGATAGAGGAGAAAAGTCTCTTATCTTTTGTCTCTTTCTCTTTTGTAATTAAGTTGCATTAAAATCTAGTCTTTGGTCTTACCACGTTGTTTCAGAAGCACATGAGCGTGTACACACAGACACACACAGCGCTACATGTTTGACATTGAGTATTATGGGCTAGGATTCTATAATGTACTATTGAAGTAGAAAAATTAAAGAATTGATTGTCCTTATGAAATAGAAAAAATAATAAAAAGTTTAGCTGTAATAGGCATTGGTGAACCCCTTGAAGTAAAAGTTAGAAAAGAATATTAACTGCTTTTCTGTAGAAACTGTAAGACACCTTATCTGTTTCCCACATATATTGTAAGGTCTCTAAGTTTCTGTTTTTCTTCTTGCTGTGCAGCTGCAAGGTCACAAAATAGATAAGCGTAAGTTACAGGACATGTTTTTCCCAAGATGTAAGCTGAATCTCAAGAATGTTACCTAATGATTAACTGCTTTAGTTCTTGCTTCTGTAAGCCTGATTCCTGCATCAAGTAGTTCCTGCCAAAAACTGCTTAAAAGGCAACTTCTTTGTCTAGTGCTCAGTCTTTCAGGATACATGTCCACTAAGCCAGTGTACACCTTAAATAAACTCTCCTGCCCCCCCCATTCAGTCTCTCTGGTCCCTTAATTCACTGCAACATTTCTGGTGCTGAAACCCGGGACTGGAGATGGCAGATTTCTGTCTCCTTTGCCTGTGGGACTGAGGCCCCGGGACAGAGGAGACCTGGGAAACTTGGTGCCAATGGGAGAGCTTCAGCCCTGAAGGGGATAGGCCCTCCCATGTCCCGGTGCCCTTCCAGACAGTGCAACGGAACCAGTAAAGGGGATTCCTGGATGGCATCAGGAGCACTGCACAGACATCTGAACCGTGGTAAGGTTTGGGCCCTGAGGCAGGACCCATCCCTAAGGACAGAAGGGAAGCCTGATCACCTCCAGGGGAGTGACAACTAATCTGACCCAGAGGGGCTGGGGACAACAAGAGTGGCTCATTGATTTGAATGAAACTCACACCCCAACAGAGACAGGACACGAGAGTGGCTCGCTAAGTCAGCTCGGAAAAGAAAACCGGAGGTGGCGAGAGTGGCTCACCACCCCAACTAGGAAACTGGAAGTGGCGAGAGTGGCTCGCTACCCCAACCAGGAAAGGGAGCTGGAAGCAGGGAAGTGTATGAGTGTGTGTGATAAAGACTGTTCCAGAAGGAAGCAACGTGAGGAGTGACATACAGAAGGCTACAGGTCTCTTAGTAGAGGCTGTATGCTCTAAGCAAAGCGTAAGGCCAACCAGGTCTAATTGGTCTAAAAAGAAAGGAAAAGTGAATGTGCTGTGTCGTTACTGGGAGGAAATGGGAGGAAAATCGTCAAAACCCACTCCATTGGAATGTATATTAAAAAACTTTAAAAAAGGCTTTATGGGAAATCAAAAAGTCAAGTTAACCCCTCAAATGCTGAAAACCCTGTATGAATTAAAATAACCCTCTTTTAATGTTGAAGGGCCAGCCAAAGGCGCTATAAATAAAAACAAAAAACAATTAGCCATGTATTTAAGGTAATAACCAAAGTCAAAAAACAGTCTAGACATTCAAACCAAATTTCCTTTTATTAACTCATAGCTAAATACAGCCCTGTTTAACAGCTTATTACAAACTCTCGCAGCTCGAGCCAAAAAAAAATCAACTACACTAGCAACTACAAACACAAAGTAAAAACTTCACCAGTAAACACAAAATTAAAAAAAAAAAATTAGAAAAACTTGTAACAAAAACCAAACCACAAATAAAAACTTCATCAGCAAACACAGAGACAAAAGGAAAGCCACAGGAAAAACTGGTTTTGCAAGAACCACTGGAGGGAATAAAGACCCCTCCTCCTTACAATCCAATTTATCCCCCTTTACCAAGGCTACCTGCCTCTAAAAAGTAAAGCTCAAATAAATACACGCCTCCAGTATCACCTGTGAAAAAACAATCAAAACTGCAAGAAATTAAAATAAATGGCTAAAAAAATCAGGCAGGCCATCTCAAGTCTGGCCATGCCAGAGTCATACAAAACTCAAGGAACAAAAGGACCCCCACTGGGACCCAAATAAGGCAGCCCAACTACAGCAGCTGCAGAGATACCAAAAGATACCCCTGTGAAGTTTTAAAAATGGCAAAAATAAAAGCAATCAATATAAAAAAAATCTCAAAGGTGCTTCAGGGTGCAGATAAAAGCCCCAGCCAGGCCGGGCATGGTGGCTCACGCCTGTAATCCCAGCACTTTGGGAGGCCAAGGCGGGCGGATCACGAGGTCAGGAAATCGAGACCATCCTGGCTAACACGGTGAAACCCCGTCTCTACTAAAAATACAAAAAATTAGCTGGGCATGGTGGTGAGTGCCTGTAGTCCCAGCTACTCAGGAGGCTGAGGTAGGAGAATGGCATGAACCCAGGAGGCAGAGCTGGCAGTGAGCCGAGATCGCACCACTGCACTCTAGCCTGGGCAACAGAGCGAGACTCCCTGTCAAAAAAACAGAAGCCCCAGCCAGTTTTATAAAAGACTTTGTGAGGCCAGCACATGGTAAACACAGCATTTATAAGGCAGGCCCAGGGAAAATGGCTAAACTTGCTCATGTCCCAGTTCAAACCTGGAAAAAATAGTCCCCAGATTCACTTTTTAGTGAATGGTTGTCATCTTTCAATAATTTAAAGACTCTAATAAAAAGCTTTATAGTTAAAAGATGTCTAATTCTCCCTTGCCTCCTGCCTCTATTAATCAAAAGTATCCAGTCAACTGTAGAGGCAATGGTAACAAAGCATACTACTACTCAAATCATGGCCTTAACCAAGTACCAGGCCTTGCCTCAAAAAAAATGTGTAGCCACTCAAAAAAAAAAAAAAATTGTGGTGCTCTTTATTAAACATCATTTATACAGAGCACCAAAGGGGGGATTGAAGTAGAAAAGTTAAAGAATTGATTGTCCTTGTGAAATAGAAAAAAATCATAAAAGTTTAGCTGTAAGGCATTGGTGAACCCCCTTGAAGTAAAAGTTAAAAAAGAATGTTAACTGCCTTTCTGTAGAAACTGTAAGACATTAATTAACCTTATCTCTTTCCCACATATTTTGTAAGGTCTCTAAGTTTCTGTTTTTCTTCTTGCTGTGCAGCTGCAGGGTCACAAAATAGATGAGCATAAGTTATAGGACATGTTTTTCCCAAGATGTAAGCTGAATCTCACGAATGTTACCTAATGATTAACTGCTTTTGTTCTGGCTTCTGTAAGCCTGATTCCTGCAACACTTAGTTCCCACCATAAACTGCTTAAAAGGCATCTGTTTTCTTTGTCCGGTGCTCAGTCTTTCAGGACACGTCTGCTAAGCCAGTGTACACCTTAAATTAACTCTCCTGCACCCCTATTTGGTCTCTCCGGCCCCTTATTTCCTGCAACACTATAAAGTTATCCTTATGGGCCATTTTTGAAGGGAGAGGCTCTCACCTTTGTGGCCTAGGACTGTGTTTATGTCATACTTTCCCAGCTGCTTGGTGTCTCCAAGGCAGTAGTAATCAGTGTCACAGTCTCTTTTCAGACTATTTCATTCAGCTTTCCAGTGAGACCATAAACCCAGGCCAGGTCCTAGTCTATTCAGGCAAGGTCAAATACTATGGGAATATTTACCTCTAAAATTACTGTCCTTGGTTTTCCCACATAATGTGTTTACCCTCCATTTCACTTTCTGACACTTAAAGTCCCAAAATGGAAGTTGTTGACATGCAGTTATTTTCTTCTTCGGTGGAAATGTACATGTAATTTGCAACAATTTTTGAACAGTTCTGGTGCTTTCCCTGCAATGGGTAGATCACTTAAGAAAATATCACGGTTCCTTTACCCTTCATTTTGGTTTACTTGAAAATAGTGAGGCAATATAAAAGTTAATGTAACTTCCACGATTACTTTAGCACTCAGCAAATCCAGATCACCTTGTATTTTAGTAAGAGATTATATATGTTATTACTTTGAAAGCTTTCACAAATTGCTGTAAACATTTAAGAAATGGATTCTCCATGGTATAACACAGTATCTGTCACCACTAAGCAGTGGGCACATATTTTTTTTTTGCTTGCCCTGTAGCCACCGTTTCACTGTTGTGAAAAGGTGTTGATTAGATTTTATTTATGCTATATATTTAGGATATTTGACAGTTAGCTCAAGGAATAGAGAATCTGAATACCACCAAACAACCTGAAACTCAGCAAACACCCTACTCTCTACTGCCTGAATTATAGAGCCTGGAAACATGTGCGTTCCTATATGAACTCCATTTCTCAAGGGTTTTCATATTTTTCTGTTGTCAAAGAGCTCTGTGCTGGAAAATCCCCACTCCTGTGTGAGAGGTAATATATTCATGTAGTGTTGTTGCAGATGACTGTGTGGGTTTTTTTTTTTTTCGTTTTTTGTTTGTTTGTTTTTTGCTTCAGAAAGTAGCCTCGGACTGAGCATTCACCACTGTGTTTTCCTAACAGCAGGTTAGGTCATCATCCCTAAGTGAGACAGACAGTTTCGAAATATAAAAAAGAAATCTCTGGACAGTTTGCAGATTGATAGGACTGAAGTGTCCTGAAAAAAATTTATCTATCTATCTATCTATCTATCTATCTATCTATCTAATTTTTGTGAGTACATAGTAGGCATATATATTTTTGGGTTACATGAGAAATTTTCATACAGGCATGCAGTATTTAATAGTCACATCAGGGTAAATGGGGTATCCATTCACTTTAAGGATTTATCCTTTGTGTTACAGACAATCCAATTATACTCTTCTAGTTATTTAAAAATACACAGTTAAATTATTTTTAACTGTAGTCACCCTGTTGTGATAGCAAATACTTGGTCTTATTCACTGTGCTATTTTTTTGCACCCATTAACCATCCCTCCTTCCTCCCCATCCCACACCCAAACAAAATTTTAATTACTAATAATGCACAACATAGCCATTGTATGGCAAGACTCACCTTGGCGTCTATGCAAATGTCTTTTCTTCAGGAAACCCCCTTTCTGAATTACCCCTCGCCTCCACCATGAATATGGTTTATCTTTCCTTTGAACTTTCATATATGTATATATCAGCAATTATTCTTTGTGACACGGTATTCCAGAAATTGGTGTTACAATGATGAACAAAATAATAAAGATGCTGCCCTCCTGAAACCTATATTCTGTTGAAGGGAGACAGTAAAAATCCAGTAAACAAATAAGAGGTAAATAATACAGTTGCATGCTGCTTTAATGACTTTGGAGGAGACAGGATGATGTGAGACAGTAATAGAGTAAGGAGTGGGGGTAAGCAATAAGTTAGGTGGTGAGGAGGCCTCTCAGAGAAGGGGGCATGGGAACTGAAATCTGAAGAATAAGGAGGAAACCATCTATGAAGAAAGGGAAAGAGTAAATATAAAGGTCAACAATAATAACAGTTATGCGTGTCTAGGATTCTACTGGCTAATAAACTAATTGGGCACAGAGAATTATTTCCTCATATTTATATGTCCTGAAGCATCTGAATTGAGCTTTCAGGTAAAATTTGCCCCAGGAAACACTTGCTAAATTAGATAGATCCATCTCGATGGCAATAGGAGAGAACTGTCTTAAGCTGTTACTCTGCACTGTTCTTTGAATGATAGTCCAAAATGCTAGATCTCGAAATTTCTGGAATAAAAGATTAACATTTGCTTGCATCTATTTTTGCATAGTTATGCTAGTATCTTTTAAGCATAATAACACCTGAATAGGAAAGTAGGCAGCCAACTGAGTGATGTTTATGCAATAGCAGCTGTTTATTCCACTAGTTATTGTGTTCTGGAAAACATGCATGACTCAGGTCCTATCATCTAAGCACAGACAAGCTGGTTAGAAATCTCTTCTGTAGGTCAAGGTTAAGGGGTTCATGATATCCTGCATATCATTTTTGGCACATAAAACACACTACTGTTTGATTATTCTTGTTGTCTTATTGCCTCTTATGTTGTCCTTATTGACTAACTGAGAGGAAGAAAATACTTACTGTTTTCTATATTAGCATAAAATCAAGGAATGTGAAAGCTGGGGAGGATCTAAGGAGAAAGGAATCATTGTTATCTGGAGCAAAACTACCTGAATTCGTAGTTCTGCTACTTACAAGTTGTGTGATCTTGGGAAAATGATTTAATCTCTCAGTAACTCAGTTTCTTTAGGTGTAACATGGAGGTATAAATAAATGAAATCCATGTAAAGTGCTATGAAAATAGTTGTATAAAATGTATAAATAGTTGTATAAAATGTATAGTTTATTTATACATGAGGTATAAATAAATGATATTTATGTAAAGTGCTATGAAAATAGTTGTATAAAATGTATAAATAGTTGTATAAAATGTATAGTTTATTTATACATGAGGTATAAATAAATGAAATCCATGTAAAGTGCTATGAAAATAGTTTGGCATATATAAAGGTCTTCGGCTGAACTAGATAATGATAGAAAACACTTTTTATAACCTCAAAGGTCTCCATTTCAACTAGATTTAGTCCCCAGATAAATTGACTGGCACAAAGTTTTTAAATTTTTTTTTTTTCAGTTGCTGACATCTAGATCAAGTTATTTTATCACACACCTAGATTCCCTGCTTCTTTTGAAAAACTAAAAGATCCATCAACAATGGGTTCACATGTTCACATGGCAGCTGTTAGAACTAATTGAGCTGTAGCTATCTGTTTTACAGTGACGCTGTCCTCTCCAAATTACTATAGTCTCAACCATTCCTCATTGCATCCTTGATGCTGAGGGCCACCCATTAATATGAACAGCCTATTAAGTGTTTGAGTTTGGTAGCAGAAGAGTTCTGCACAGATTTTCATGTTGAAGTAGGGGCAAGGAGCAGGCAGACAAGTACAGAGCATTTGCAGGGGAAAATATTCCTTAACCAGGTGTCCCATCTTAAAACTGAAATCCTGTAAAGCAAGTATGTCAGTGTTAACAGTTTATGTAACTTTAAATTGTAAAAATCTTTTATTACAGTCTGTATATTAAATATTTCTATTGAAACGTCTCATCCACTAATCCTATGCATTTACTTCTTGAAAACATACACTTATCTCAGGTGAAACTGCTTACTGTTTGTCACGGACTTTGTTCTTCCATAGGAGCTTATTATCAAATGATTCAGACAAATCCATAAAGAGATGTTGGCGTGTATGCTAAAGTATTCTCTTTCTCTTTCTCTTTAACTCAAAGGGAGTTTGTCTCCCCAAATCCAGACACAGTGAATTGCTGTGAAATGAATTTTAGTTAACGCACAGAAATATTTTAATAATGCACACATTTTCATTTGAGCCATTTTTTATTGTCAAGTGACTTTTATCTCAGAGAATTTTATGTTTGATTTTTTACGCAAGTGACAATAAACAAACCACAAGTAAAGGCAACTTTTCCTCTGTGTTTTCTAGCTTAACTAATGAAGAGAGTTCATTGTGAACTGCTAAGTGGAATATACCTTGTTGGGAAATTATTTCAGTCCTATTAAATGTTTAAAGACATGCTGGCAGTTGGAGTTTCCACAATGTAATCTAAGCAATCATTTCCTGGGAAGGTTGCAAACTTGCTGAGTCATTAATTTAGCACACTAGGTTAAAAAACAAATTCAGTCTCTAGAAGAGCAGGATACATTGTCTCTCTGAGTAGGTGTTCAGTGCACAGAGTTCCAGCTTTGGCAGTAATTTCAAATGAAACACTTGGTGTAAGAATGTTAAAGATGCTTTGTGAAACCACAAACTTAAAAAAATTGATCTTCATAATTTTTATTTTATTTAATTTCTATTCCTGGCTTCAAAATACAACTTTCATCATTACGTTCTCATATTATCTCCCATGCATGATGTGTTAACTCTTACACTTCTAACACAAAAAATACCTTTATGTTTGTCATCATATATAATTTGCCAAATCAAATCATTTATATGCATCTATCTCACTACCATATTTTACAGTGATGTCAATTCTTACAAAAGATCCACACCTGTAAGTTGATCCAAACTCCTCCAATTCATAGAACATATGGCTAATATAAAAATATAAAATTTTAAAAAATGCATTCTCTTATATGTGTTGCCCATAGTTATAAAAAACGAAATTTTAAATGTGCTCTTTAAGTTTTGAGCCATTTTTTTCTCTGAACATATTAATGAAGCAGAACAAAACAGACTTTCCAAAGCATTTCAACTTTCCCTCCTCTTCTCATTAAAAAAAAAAAAATCATTCTGCAGATTTTTCAGGTTCACCAAATACATGGGGCCAAATTGGAATAGAGACTAAGAGTGAAAATTAATTTAAACACCATTTAGTTAACCTAATAAACCCAGTAAAACCTTCAATAGTGTTGACGGTAAGGAAGAATTTTCACTTTATTATAGTTAGCTTTAAAGAAAGGTGTTATTTAAAACTCTAAAGTACTGTGCACATTGTAATTAAATATACAAGTAAGCCAAGAAAATGTAGTAAGTTAATGAAGAATTTGAGTTTTATTTATGTATAATAAACATACAAAGTTGTTATAACTTATAAACTTGATATATAATGAAATCTCTTTACTTTGTATAATACATTTCATGCAAACAGTTCCAATTATTTCTGTCAGCATTATGATTCGAATTGCTATCTAGTTTCCTCTTGAAATTATCTTAAAATGCAAAGATCAGTGAGTTTTTTAAAAGTATCATTTCCTTTAAAACTATTAATTTCTGAATTTTTGCCTGCTCTGTAGCTTGATATATCAAACAAAAACATACTGTAATTATGCTTTATGTTGTACATGCCTTCACATAAAACTTCACATAATAATTGGAATTTTATATTTTTGCTTAAAATAACAACTGATTATTAATTATTAATGACAAAATATGTCATTGATTCTGAAAATCTTTAAGTCTTAGTTTGTGATCACATCATTAGAAATACTTTTGCCGGCCAGGCGCAGTGGCTCATGCCTGTAATCCCAGCACTTTGGGAGGCTCGAGGCAGGTGGATCACCTGAGGTCAGGAGTTCGAGACCAGCCTGACGAACATGGAGAAACCCTGTCTCTACTAAAAATACAAAATTAGCCGGGCGTGGTGGCACATGCCTATAATCCCAGCTACTTGGGAGGCTGAGGCAGGAGAATCATTTGAACCTGGGAGGCAGCGGCTGCAGTGAGCCGAGAATGCCCCATTGCACTGCAGCCTGGGCAACAAGAGCGAAACTCCATCTCAAAAAAAAAAAAAAAAAAAAAAGAAATATTTTTAAAGGGATGATGGCAGGATTACAGAAAGGGTGGTTCTTAAACATTTAGGTAAATATTGATAAATATAGATAAATATATATTACAGGGTCATGGCCTTATTCCATAGCCAGTTGGTGTTTTTAATAATCTGTTATGTATCAACAAAGTCCTTGTTTTACATTTTTGATTGAAGGAAGGATAAAAACCCTATAAGCGCTTAGGGACTCATCAGATAATGACCCAGTCTTACTTTTTTGTTTTCACACTTCAGATTTGCCTCATGTTAGGGAAAGCACATGCAAATGTGTGTGTATACACTCCCAGAAACATAGAATTGAATACTGAAAACAGAACTTCAGTCAGCTTCTCCACTCTCGCTTTCCCAAGGTGTTCATTATCTAGTACAATTAAACAACTCAAACAGTCTCCTTCCAGCAGTAAATCAATTTCTACAAAATACGTTACTATGCATGCACCCTGTGTCAAGATTGTAAAGCTTTACTTTTTCATTTAGAAATATGGGCCATATTGAAAATAATGACATATTTCAGACTGTAAGAAAAGGTAGTGATAAGTCTGGTTGGATTGCTATCTGATTTTGAAATTTAAAATGGCATGAATGGTATGAGGGCACTCTTTATTAATGCTATTAAAATCTTAATTTCTGACACTATAAATTACATAGTTGACACTATAAATTACATATTCTGTGCCAAGGACACATGTGGCTGGCTGTGTAAATCTCATTATTGCCTGAAAATGTGTGTGGTATAGTCTCTGGGCTACAGAGTGACAGCTAATTTCTTTTTCCTAAACTTGGAATATTTTTAAATTTCTTACATAATCTTGCCCTTGAAGGTAATAAATGAAATAACCTCTCAAAAATAATTATAGTTCTTGTAGTTTATGGCAGTGTTTGTGTTGGATGAAAAGAAAATATTCAGTTTACTAGATTCCCTCTTGCTTTTCTAATGAATTTGCACCATGGTATAGTAAATGTCAAACTGGCTCTGTTAGCACAGCCTACAATTAGGTATCTTAAATTAAGGAATGTAACTGAACAGTGATTTGTCCAGCTTTTCATAGGATTTCCCAAATCTGAGAACATGTTAAATCTGCTAACAAAGTGTGACATCAGGTTATCTTTTATTCTGAGTGTTAAAAGTTTTCAACTATGGAAAAATATTTTCATTTTAGTCTATGCTTAAAACAGGCCCATTGGCTACAGTTACTAGAGGACACTGGAACAGGGAGTTTACCCTGTGGATTTAATTATTCTTTAATTCCATTGAAAGTATTTATTCAATATATTCATGATTCTGGTTTGGCAAACCTTTGGCTATTTTTATAATCTCCCTAGACTTATCTGCAAGAGTTGAACCTTTCCAGAATAATTATGCTTTACAGTTTTTCTTTATGGAATTGTAATTGTGAATGTAACTGTAGGCCTAATATTCCTGTGTAGAACTTCATTTTAAGTTTCTTTTTACTGTAGCTAGTGAATCTGGAAATAATAGTTTTCACTTTTGGTAATAGTATTTAACCTTTTGGTACAGATAGGGATTGAAAAGGATAGAAATTTTTTGTAAATGTGATTTATTGCTGTCTTATCAGTAATCATTTAAAATTAGAAATTAACTGAGTATGGTGATAAAACAAGGGCTCTGGAGGCAAACAAATGTAGGTTCACATTTTGGCTGCACTATTTACTAGCATTTGACCCAGGGGTATGTATTTAAACTTTATGAGCTTAGATGCCTCAACTGTAGGTAATAAGGCCTGTCTTTTAAGGCACCTAATACAGTTATTGCTCTAGAGTAGGAACTTAATAACTAAGATATATAAATGAGATACATAATTATAACAACGGTTCAAAAGTAATTCAGTTTATCTTATTCTGATGATTCTAAAATACATTTATTCTGACGATTCTCAAATATATCCCAGGATATCAAAGGTACTGTGAAATTATCCAAAAACATAGAAAACATGGTTAATTTTAGTTAATTTAATTTTTAAAAATCTATATACTGGGCTGATTAAATAATTCTAAAATGATGGGCAAGAGTACACAGAGATAAAATTACATCCAAAACATCCACTTTTATATTCCTCTTATAGTATATTCGTTCTGTTTCCAGTAATACAAATCTTTTATTGTATGGCTGAGGAAAAATGTAAAATCATATTTATTTTTTTCTTTAGGTAATCCAAAGGAACTGTAAGGCATTTTTTTCTTTCTTTCTTTCTTTTTCTTTTTCTTTTATTATTTATTTATTTATTTTTTTTGAGATGGAGTTTCACTCTTGTTACCCAGGCTGTAGTGCAGTGGCACGATATTGGCTCACCACAACCTCTGTCTCCCAGGTTCAAGCAATTCTCCTGCTTCAGCATACCGAGTAGCTGGGATTACAGGCGAGCACCACCACACCCAGCTAATTTTTGTATTTTTAGTAGAGACGGGTTTCACCATGTTAGCCAGGCTGGTCTTGAACTCCTGACACCAAATGATCCACCCGCCTTGGCCTCCCAAAGTGCTGGGATTACAGCATTTTTTCGATGAAGTACCATGTAGGGCAAACAGGAGGCATTTACTTTTCATTTTCTGTCTTTCATAAATGCTTGCATTTTCTAACCATGTGAATGTAATCCTGTAAAAAATGTCAATGATATAATATTTGCACTGTTTATTTGACTCCAACTTTATATTTCTGTATTAAAACCACTTTTTTAAAGCAAAAACTTATTTGAAAGACCTAGAAATCATGTTTAAACATTCTGATCTCCAATTCTCTTTTTTTTTTAAGATTATACAAGCAAGGTAACTCAAATAGAAATGGGGAAGGCAAGTAAATTATATTAATTAACAGAAATACAGTATGATTTCATATTATTAAACATCAAAGTACTAAATACAAGAGTAAACCGGTATCTTAAAATATATAAATATATAAATCAAATAGCCTCTTACATCTTGCTTCCTTTATTGTTTTCCAAAATGTAGCAAAAATCACCATCAGAGTCGTTTATTGGTCGAGAGAAGAGGTCAAATTCTCAATCATACATTGGACGACCAATTCACCTTGACAAGATTTTGATGTCTAAAGTTAAAGTGCCGCACACATTTGTCATCCACTCCTACACCCGGCCCACAGTGTGCCAGTACTGCAAGAAGCTTCTGAAGGGGCTTTTCAGGCAGGGCTTGCAGTGCAAAGGTAAGGATGATTTTGTCACCTGTCGAACTTTGATCACCCTCATTCATCTGACATAAGTATTTTCTGGTTACCACTTTTCTTTATGACAAATTCTCATTTTGTTTTGTTTGAAAATCACTGGGATTAGATTGCAGATTCAACTGCCATAAACGTTGTGCACCGAAAGTACCAAACAACTGCCTTGGCGAAGTGACCATTAATGGAGGTAGGTAAAAGATCAGCTGTCATGTCTGTGCTTCTTCCATATTAGAGAGTGTGGTGATGTAATTTTAGTCAGGGTTTTTGGTTTTGGTTTTGGTTCAGATATTTCAGACACAGTCTAAAGTAAATTATGGCCAGTGTTTGTTCTACTTTACAATAGAAAAGCATCCATGGAGTTTTGATAACAGTCAAAGACCCTTTCATGATCTTTACATGGTGAGCAGCTAGTATTGAAAACTTGGGTAGCCATAATTTATTTCCCAGTTTTATTATCTTATATTCTTATCCTAGTTTGCCCAGAAATGTGGATGTTGTTGGGCTGCCTACAAGTTATAGCTCTCAGTCTCTTTTCCTCTGTCCTTCTCATTTCAATCATCTTTAATAATAAAAGGAACTTTGTCAGCCAAAAAAAAATAGATGTATTTTCTGTATTTGGCAATATTCCTTCAAGAAAACTCTAACTGTATAAATTAACTTCGAAGGACTGCTAAGAAAAATGCCATATCTTAAGCAAAGAGCTTACATTTTCTTCTTGGGTAGCATTCTAATGGATCACTACCAAAATATTTGACTTAGAATCCCAGGTTAGCTTTTTCTGCAGATAGTGGTCTTTATACCTTTAGCCTGATACCAGTTTTCCAATTCCTCTGGAAAGGAAAATGGCTGTAAAAGATCACAGATACTTTCAGTTGAATATTTTTGTTGCTAAGAAGCTGAAGAATGACTATCTTTGCTCTAGAACTTTCTTCTCTAGAAGAAATATATACTGTACCTAAAAGAAGAAGAAGGAAGAGCTCTCCAGGAAAACATTGTCACACTTGTTTCTGGCTTGGAGATTCATGAATTAGCTGCCAAAATTGAAAGCTTGGCGATCGTCCCACTTTCTGTGGCATGTGGTGTTGACTTTGTTCAGGCTCAGGGAATGTCAGTGTGTACTGGATAACTATAACTAAGGGGATACAGAACAGTTTTTGATGTTGTTGATTACTTTGAAATTCTATTTTCTTATACATTCAGAAAAATCTGGTAAAATGTGAATTTTCCAAGCTTGGCAGGCTAGAGTCTCTCATTAATCTGTATTTTCATTTTAAAATGAGTACTTTGCATTAGTAAGTAATTTTAATTTTTGCCATTACCATCAACTGTATAATGACAGGTTCAATATTACTTCAAATATCAAATGTCTTATTTAAAAGCTGCAGCTATGTGACCAATTTAATATATTGGAATTCGTGATTTTCAAAGTTACTCCAATAGTAAGAATCAGTGGCTTGAATCTTTTTTCATGTGAAAATTTCTGTCATCCTCTTACATACTTTTTTTTCCCACCAGGGCTGTGCTTCTAAAATATGAGCAGCTTCCCAGTCACTTGGGCCTGGTATCACTTTGCCTTCTAGCATTTTACTTCTATCCCAGCTTTGGCTTCCTTCCAAGGTTTTTCATGACTTTTCATGTTTTCAGGCTTGGGAAAACGGAAAACGAGCATCTACCTATAAAATTACATGTTCAACCTCTCATAAACTCAGATGCATATAAACTGAAATAAAAAAGGAAATTGAAAATCATGGAAGGATCTGGAGGCCATTATCTTTAGCAAACTAACACAGGAACAGAAAAGCAAATACCACATGTTCTCACTTATAAGTGGGAGGTAAATGATGAGAACACATGGTCACATAGTGGGGAATAACACATACGGGGTCCCTTCAAGGTTGGAGGGTGGGAGGATCAGGAAAAATAACTAATGGGTACCAGGCTTAATACCTGGGTGATGAAATAATCTGTACAACAAACCCCCATGACACAAGTTTACCTATGTAATAAACCTGCACATATACTCCTAAACTTAAAATAAAAGTTAAAAAATAAAAAATAAACTCATCACAGAACTACCTCTTTGGGGCTTCCAATTGATTTGTTTTAGGATCACCTGACTGTCTCTTAAGCCCTGGCTCCAAGATTCCAGGCTTATCTTCATGGGTGAAAATAATTTTCTAGATTTGCTTAGCCCTGGGGCAGAGTCTGATGTGGTCATGGAAGAAGGGAGTGATGACAATGATAGTGAAAGGAACAGTGGGCTCATGGATGATATGGAAGAAGCAATGGTCCAAGATGCAGAGATGGCAATGGCAGAGTGCCAGAACGACAGTGGCGAGATGCAAGATCCAGACCCAGACCACGAGGACGCCAACAGAACCATCAGGTGAGAGCAGCACTCCCAGCCTCAGCCAACAGGGGAACCCCAGGCAGTATTTTCTCTTTAAACCTCTTTGATATTTTAATAGATTATAGTAGAAATGTGAAGTGCACGTTTACTTTTATATGAATGAACTGCGTGCTGTAAATGAGAGCCTTTGAAGTTAGGAGGTCTGGGTTCCCTGGGAGAAGTGTGGTTGCCATTCTTTCCCAGCATCACCTCATTCATTGAACTATTTTTTTTTTTTTTTTGCATGTGAGAGATGCTCATGTTTGCCATCCACAAGTTTATTACTAAGTTAATATTAATTTGAAGCTCATTGTGTAGAAACAACAAAAATCAAGATCAAACTCAGCAGAAATCATCTATTTTATTAGCTGGCCCCTGTTACAAATATCATAGTCTGTGTACACTTCACTGTTCTTGATATTATTTCAGAAGTATGTGCAATTTTATATCTGTTATTTAATTATGCTTTTGGTTACTGGATGATCCCCACTTTTTATATCAGGAGTCAGCACAATGTGGCCACCAGAGCAAATTGGACTGCTGCCCAATTTGTAGTAAAGTTTTATTGGAACATAGCCTGTCCATTCATATTGTCTGTGGCTGCTTTTGCACTATATTGGTAAAGTTAGGTCTTTTGCAAAAACTAAAATATTTATTACCTGGCCCTTTACAGAAAATGTTTCCTAGTCTCTGATTTATATTATAAAGCCTATTGAAACTTTTGTGTCCATTTTACGAATGCCATGTTTATTGACAAACAAATTGTTCATGAGAGTAGAGCAATAAAATGATTGTTTTTTTCCATTTAATGGCATAATGAACATTTTTTAAATAGTGGGAAATAATTGTCTTGTGACCTGTCTTTTGAAGACATACACTTCTTTAGTACCAAAGAGTTTGCATGGTGCCGGGGGGCAGTGGTGGGAATTACATATATATTCATGTTGTGGGAAGGGGGACAAGGAGGGAGGGATGAAGAGAGGAAGAAACAGAGACTAGCAGATTCCAATTTTTATGACATTATGCAGAGAAACTAAAAATTCATGTTGAATAATGTAATCTCTAAATGATTGATAATGTACCTATAATAGGAAATAAATAAGCAAATAAGCTTTCATGTGTGAGTCTGAATAGTGTGGCCTCAGTAGACTAAGAAGTACTCTACCTCAGGTTTACCTGAAAACTGAACACCATACAGTTCAACCCAAAATATGAGGTGCTTATTACCCAGCCTTGGGAATTTTTTTTTTTTTCAGATGGAGTCTTGCTCTGTCACCCAGGCTGGAGTGCAGTGGTACAATCTTGGCTCATTGCAACCTCTGCCTCCCGAGTTCAAGCAATTCTCTGCCTCAGCTTCCCAAGTAGCTGGGATTACAGGTGCCCGCCAACATGCCCAGCTGATTTTTTTTGTACTTTTAGTAGAGACGGGGTTTCACCATCTTGGCCAGGCTGGTCTTGAACTCCTGACCTCGTGATCCACCCGCCTCGGCCTCCCAAAGTGCTGGGATTACAGATGTGAGTCACTGCACCCGGCCAGGATTTTTTAAGGTGTACAAACAACGTGCCTATCACTCTTCAGAGTAACCCACTTTCAGAACCATGGTGCCTGACAATACGTTTTACTAAACATGAGATGTGAATTTTGTAAAGTTTCACTTGGATTAGCTGACATAAGGTTTTATGCATGAAAATACATAAAATGTACCTGAAAACATTTTTTCCCTACAATATTTTGACTTCTCAAGTCCATCAACAAGCAACAATATCCCACTCATGAGGGTAGTGCAGTCTGTCAAACACACGAAGAGGAAAAGCAGCACAGTCATGAAAGAAGGATGGATGGTCCACTACACCAGCAAGGACACGCTGGTAAGATCCACAGGGAACAATGTTCTCTTGCCTTGCTAGCTTTAATTAGAGGAGTTGCTAATGTCCCGTGAGGACTGTGAGATTTCTGCATTACTCAGAGTAAACCTCAGCACAGGCATGACACGGGATTAGGTAAGGTGCATTACAGTCTCTGGGTGTCAGATATAGTTGAGCAAGCAACGAAGTTAGGAAAAAGTGTGGAAAGCAATTTCAGGCAAACAAATTCATTGACCTTGATTACCTGAGATGTCTACCTGCCATTTTATAGCACTTGTGGAAGCCACAGTATGTGCTTTCAGAATGCTTCACTGCAATTTAGAATTTTATAGGAAACACTGCATTCTAGGCAGAGAATAAAACAGTGATAACTATCTTATACTTCGTAAGTCCTTAACTAAGTTTTCCCTGAAGAACTGACCCATTCAGGAACATTGGAATCCTGTACCCTGAGATTTTCTTAATAGTTGAGGAATGAGGTTGTGTACGTACGTAAGAGAGAACAACTTGATTCACGTTTCAAAGTTAAGTTGACAATTGACTGATTTCTGTTACTGTATTGCTTTTCTCATCTCTTACCTATAGGATCACTACAGATAAGCAGACACCTATAACCTAATTGATCTATCTATAATTTCGACCATCTGTGTTAGAGAGAGAAGACCTACCTGATATTATAGGACTCAATTGAATACCGCCTAGTTCTTTTTAGACATGGTGTAATATATTTAATATATTTGACTGGCCTAAAATTGGTTGTGGAGGAGAAGAGCGGAATCATAGAGCTTTGGGGTCTTTTATAAGATAAAAATACACACACACCCTAAAATCCTGAAAGATATACCTACAGTGTAGAAGGACCTGTTCATCAAATCATAGTGGTTAGATCTGTAGTGAGCTGGAGAGAAGGTAGAGTTGGTTGTTTGATGCATTCCCCTGACTTTAAGTTGATGTCATGGAGTCAAACTTATTGTCCAACAAAATATTCTTTACTTCTACTCTAACATTCAGAATTTTCCCATTGCCAATGGAAGCAAGAATACCTGGCTCCATCAGCATGGGATTTCTTACGTCCTAAAATAATGAGCATGCATAATAAACATTGCATCTCCTAGTAAACCTTATTTTATTATAGACTATACATCCACCTTTAGCCCTTCAAGCAGTGAAATAAGCTTAAAAATGATGTTTTCTGTTTACTATGCACTTTCTAAATGCCAGGCTCTTACTGGGCGCTAATACTTCATCTTCTTTATTACTCACGACCCTGTAACATAAATGCAGATACTTATCAGACATGTGCTAAATAGTCAACCTCTAGAGCCTGAAATTGAGCATGAGTCTGCCTTTCCCAAAGCCCATGCACTTTCCACCCTCAAATCGCATGTCCCTATTGGGGAAATCTATTTATGTTTTCAATTGGGGATATTTTTAAAGTTTTTTAAAAAGATCTTGGATCTAACTTCTGTTTCAGCGGAAACGGCACTATTGGAGATTGGATAGCAAATGTATTACCCTCTTTCAGAATGACACAGGAAGCAGGTACTACAAGGTAAGAGTGGGCTCTTTCTTTGTAGTTTCATACCTCTTATTGCTTTTTCATGGGAATGTAGAGTATAAGAAATAGGAAATACATCCAACAAACGTGGCTATTTTTGTGCTTCCTCCAGGAACTATTTTTTTTTTCTTCTCTATAGTCTACAAATTTCTTGGGATTCAGGTTGGGACCTCTTGATTCTTCTGTGAATTTTAAATTTCCCTGGGGAGTGTTTCTGGTACCATGGGATGATGGGAGAGGGAGGGAGGTGAAGATTAATTGAATATGTTAGCAGAGAAGTGTGATTTAACTAGAAAATTAATGGTCACAGCAGATCAGCTCAAAGTAAACTCCTGATATCCACTGCATCTAGCACACTGCTAGGAGTGAAGAAACATTGTATGATTTCTCCATGCTTGTCAATATTCACAAAGAGCACTTTCCTCTAGAGAAAAAAATGGCAGCAATTTTTATTCTGTCCCTCTACATTAAGTAATACAGATGTGGCATACTATATCACCCAGTAAAACACAACTCCAAAAAAAACTTCATAGAGAAAATAATAGATACTTGCTCCTTCAAAATGAATGCAGACTCTGGAATAGTTGATTTGATTCTCCACAGCCATTTTACATAGCTGTCACAGAAAATGGAAACCTCACTAATTTTAAAATTAAAACTTTGTTTTAAAAGTTATTATTTTTTAGCCCCTGCATACTTCCTGGAAGATGCAGTAGTGATTTCTTTTTTTTAGTATGAATTGCCTTAAAAATGATGACTATTGGCCAGGCGCAGTGGCTCATGCCTGTAATCCCAGCACTTTGGGAGGCCGAGGCAGGTGGATCATTTGAGGTCAGGAGTTCTAGACCAGCCTGGCCAACATGGTGAAACCTTGTCTTTACAAAAATACACAAATTAGCCAGTCGTGATGGGATGCACCTGTAATCTCAGCTACTCAGGATGCTGAGGCAGGAGAATCACCTTAATCTAGGAGGCGGAGTTTGCAGCGAGCCAGGATTGCACCAATGCACTCCAGCCTGAGCAACAGAATAAGTCTCTGTCTCAAAAATAAAAATAAATAAATAAAAGGCCAGGCGCAGTGGCTCACCCTTGTAATCCCAGGACTTTGGGACACCGAGGCAGGCAGCATGAGGTTAGGAGTTCAAGACCAGGCTGGCCAACATGTTGAAACCCTGTCTCTACTAAAAATACAAAAATTAGCCAGGTGTAGTGGCAGGTGCCTGTAATTCCAGCTACTTGGGAGGCTGAGGCAGGAGAATTGCTTGAAACTGGGAGATGGAGGTTGCAGTGAGCCGAGATCACGCCACTGCACTCCAGCGTAGGTGACGGAGCAAGATTCTTTCTTGGAAAAAAAAAAAAAAAGACCATTTTAAAACCAATCTCTAGTTGTCCTCACTTAAACTATTCACTTGGCTATGTTATTACATTAACATGTATTGAGTGCCTTAAAGAATAGGTTAAAATTTAAAAATAGCCATGTCTGCCTAAATGCATTTCAAAAGTGTTGTGATTCTACCTCACTGTTACAAAAATTATCGCTTATTTTCTAAGTCTTGGATTTTGGTGAAGATTCAAAATCATTTTTCCTAACCATACTGATTCTCGCCACATGAACATAGCATAAAAAGTCACATTTTCTAGAAAAAGGAAATAAGGTTTCCCATAGTAAAGGTATTTTTTTTAATTTTGCTTAGCAGTATTCTGTGTTTTATAGTTTAAAAGTATTTTATTTAAATGGTGGCTATTTGTGATGTCATTTTTCACATGTTCTTGGCATGAATTTTCTTTGAAAGTTTACATACTTTTGATAAACAACATTTAGTACTTTTTTTCTTTCACAGGAAATTCCTTTATCTGAAATTTTGTCTCTGGAACCAGTAAAAACTTCAGCTTTAATTCCTAATGGGGCCAATCCTCATTGTTTCGAAATCACTACGGCAAATGTAGTGTATTATGTGGGAGAAAATGTGGTCAATCCTTCCAGCCCATCACCAAATAACAGTGTTCTCACCAGTGGCGTTGGTGCAGATGTGGCCAGGATGTGGGAGATAGCCATCCAGCATGCCCTTATGCCCGTCATTCCCAAGGGCTCCTCCGTGGGTACAGGAACCAACTTGCACAGTGAGTCTGCCAGTTTTCTAACCAGCCCAAAGCTCATCATGTGCCTACCCCTTGCTTAGTAAACATGTGCCCTGCCCTTCCTAAGAACAGAATGAAGAAAGACTTCTTGGGGATGACTTAGTTTATTGTAGAATGTAGGGTGTCTAAATAAAAGCTGCTGCACATACTAAGATGTTTAGTTTGTTAAATTATCCTATTTTATTATAGCTATTTTATATTAAAATTTAACAAATTCAGGTAAACACTATGTATTAGGCAATTACAGACCTCTAGAGCTATTGGTTATAAAAGAAGAAGTAATCTGGCCGGGCTCAGTGGCTCACACCTCTAAACCCAGCTCTTAGGGAGGCCAAGGTAGGTGGAGGACTTGAGCCAAGAGTTCTAGTCCAGCCTGGGCAACATGGGGAAACCCTGTCTCTACAAAAAATACAAAAATTAGCCAGGCATAGTGTCATGCGCCTGTGGTCCCAGCTACTCTGGAGGCTGAGGCAGGAGAATTGCTTGAGCTCAGGAAGCATAGGTTGCAGTGAGCCAAGATCAAGCCACTGCATTCCTGCCTGGGCAAGAAAGAGGAGGAGGAGGGGGAGAAGGAGGAGGAGAAATCTAGCCAGCTTCAGCTTGACATGGAATGCAAGAGAAGAAGAAGAAAGGAGAAGGACATGAAGAGGAAGAGGAAGAGAAAGAGCAAGAAGAAAAAGAAGAGGGAGAAGAAGAAGAAGCAGAAGAAGAAGGAGAAGGAGAAGAAGAAGAAGAGGAGGAGGAAGAGGAAAAGGAAGAAGGAGAAGGAGAAGGAAGAAGGAAGAAGAAGAAATCTAGCCAGCTTCAGCTTGACATGGAATGCAAGTCTTGTTATTTGCAAATCTGAATTAATAAGTTTCCCTAAAAACACCTCACCTAGTATTCTGTGCAGGGTATTGACGTGCAGAGTACATGGTAATTGGTAATTCTTGATCACTTTATCCCAGGAAGAATTCTCTGTTCATTAGTAGAATGAGATACATTTGCTAAAATGCAACCTAGATTCAGTATTGAGGATAAATTTTAAAGAAGAAATTTTAGAGGAATATTTCTATAAAAAAGTCATTTATTTTTAAATTTCATAATAGTTACTCATAATGAAACCTATGAATTAACCTCTGGTTTTTTTACATTATAGTGTTATCCATTTATCTGTCATAATTTTTTAATTTATCTCTACAACGAAAATACATATTAATAGAATATATATGCCTATTTTAGTGCTAAGCACTTTATATGAGACCTCTATTTTAATGCCTAATCGAATTCCAACAGGTAGACTTTAACGATTTGCCTGTTTTACAACTTAAGAAATCAGTGTCTCTCGAGCGAGGTTAAGTTGTCTAAGCTTGTACCAAAGCTGTGAAGTAGCAAAGCCAGTATTTGAATCCAAGTCCTTCTGACTCCAAACCCTAAATTGATGAAATATTATTTTTCAAAAACAAGTATGTTGAATATGTAATTTTGAAAGGAAATAAATATTCTAATGACATTTTCTTAGAAAAACCTAATTGCTATGATTTAGTTAAAACCACTTTTGCAGGATGATTTGTAAGCATGTACTTACTTGTTTTGCTATTACATCTCTTACTGACTTTTTGTGTGCATATTGTTTTACATGCATTTCCAGGAGATATCTCTGTGAGTATTTCAGTATCAAATTGCCAGATTCAAGAAAATGTGGTAAGTATGTACCTACTAATATAAAACTTGCTAATGTGATTACTGGAAAATAAAAGCATCATAAAATAGTTTTTTTAATTCATTTTAATTTTTTAGTAAATTTTGGAAAGCAAAATAGAATTTGGATATTTTTTTGTGATATTTTAGAAATATTAAATTATATAGATTAGTAATTTTTCTATAATCAATTCTGTAATGTAGAGCCAAATATCTGTTTTTCTCAGCTAGGCAATTATAATGTGATGCCTGATTTCTCACATATTTGCCCTTCTTGGTACTGGAATTTTAATGGTTGATATTACACAGTAAAATAAATACATGAGCAAAATAAAATAAATTTCTCAATTTGCATGAGTAGCTTAAAAATGCCATTGTTCTCATTCCTTAGTTGCTACCTAGAAGTGCCATAATATGACAAGGAGTTGCAAATGCTCTTATAGTCACTTGTACACATCAAGGAGACTTTAAGAAAGTTGCATAAATCGAATCTTACGGGTTCTCATTTTAGCACCCTAGTCATCTGCGCCACGTAACTCCATCCTTGCAGCTCAGTTTTTGAAAATTGTAGATCAGACATATTATGAAATATTTTACAGTCCGTCAAATGTTTGCTTTATTTGTTATATTTTATCCCTATGGCAAGTAGCCAAAAAGTAATAAGGCCTTTTCTACCTCCTCCTGTGACCCAGACCCTTTTGTCTATTTTACCTGCTGTATCTATGGCCAAAAGAATGCAGTTTACAGCTTACACTTTCTAAAAATTTGTTTAAGAAAATTAACTTCATGAAACTCTATTCATCCTTATTATATTTCTGAAAACTACATTAAAGTGGCATAAAGTAAACAGCCAAATATGAATTTGAGAGAACTAGTTAAACTTCATAGTGAAGGTTAGATAAATTCTTGTGCTGTCAATCATGAGATAAATTCCTAAAGAAATTTCTTTTCTGCAGATTCCTATTGCCTTTGTTTAGCCAGAGACATTTCAGGAAATACAAGTTACTCTATAAGCCTCTTGGGAAATTCCTGATAGCTGTGGAATTGTTCCACTCTATTCAGCCACTGTTGTCCACTGAAGATTTTGGATCGGCCATTGAGTTATCGGAAAGCCTAAAGAACACTTCTCTTAACAGATGAAGTAGCTTGAAATCAGAATAATAGAATAGTATTAATATTACTTGTCTTGTCCCTAGACAGCGTTGAACTCATCCTGTGGGGACTTTGAAGAATCACAGGATGGATACAACTTGTAGTTATTTTCTAGGGGGAAGAACAAAGGAAAAAGATAAGGGTTTATAGGATATGGAGAGGGTGGGATTTGATATTAAAGGGCTTCTTTTTATTATACTTTAACTTCTGGGGTACATGTGCAGAACATGCAGAAGGAGTTTAAAAAAATAAAGTCAGAGTATAAGGGTAGAAGATAGTTGGAAAATCTGATAGGATGTAATAGGAATATATAAGGGAAAAAAGAATTACCTGGTGATTTCATCAGAATGAAATCACAGACAATAAAACATAGATTTAAAAGATGCTTTATTCAGCACTTATTATTTCAAAGAGAAAGAATTAGACTTTTGGAACTTGTTAGCTCCCGAAGTGATGAAATTGGACGAGTTTAGCTACTTCACAGATGAGAATTTCATATAGGTTGCCATCCTTCTGCAGCCTCTCCAGCTCACTCACAGTGATTCAGCCTCCTCTTCTGTCACTTTGGGTTCATCTGCATGTGGGTGACTAATAAGGGAGCAACCTTTTCATTCTAGCCATACAGGGAGAAGTGGTTGGAATCAGGATTCACACAGACATGTGGTTGGGAACCGTGATTATTTAATGACATTTCCAAATAGCCATCTCAACAGGCAAATATCTTTTTCAATACTTATAGTAAATCACATTGTATGGTTTTTAGTCATATTTCTTTCTAATGAAACATATGTGCTAGCACGTTAGAAAACCTCTGCCACTTAAGATCAGAACAGTTTTCGTAACATTACGTTATTACATTAATTAAAGAGTGTGCTTTGAGGCCGAGTGTGGTGGCTCATGCCTGTAATCCCAGCACCTTGGGAGGCCAAGGCAGGCGGATCACTAGGTCAGAAGTTCCAGACCAGCCTGACCAACATGGTGAAACCCCATCTCTACTAAAAATACAAAAATTAGCTGGGCGTGGTGGCGTGTGCCTGTAATCCCAACTACTCAGGAGGCTGAGGCAGGAGAATCTCTTGAACCTGGGAGGTGGAGGTTGCAGTGAGCCAAGATTGCGCCACTGCACTCCAGCCTGGGCAACAGAGCGAGACTCCATCTCAAAAAAAAAAAAAAGAGTGTGCTTTGAATATTACAGTCATCTCAGATTTCATCTAGCATTTATAATTTATTTTTAAAATACTTAGTTTATAATATATTTAATAGAATTATATTAATTTTTAGGACTAATGTTTTGTTCTGCTTCATGTTTTTTTTTCATTGGGCTTGTACCTCTAGGACATCAGCACAGTATATCAGATTTTTCCTGATGAAGTACTGGGTTCTGGACAGTTTGGAATTGTTTATGGAGGTAGGTTATCTCACTGAGTATTTTTATGAACTTAAAATTTTTGCTAGTTATATTTTAAAAAGCGATATTTACAGGAAAAACATAGAAGAGAAGACCTATGTGTATATATTTCTGTGTGTGTATCTTTTTGTGTTCTGCGTTTAAAAAATTTTTTTGAGATAGTTACTACTTGGAAAATTGGGATATGTGTGTTTTGAAAGAGAAGGTTTCATATTCCTGAAAAACATTTTTTCTTTAATATAGGCAAACTGTACACACAGTACTGAAGAAGTTTGGAATATCAGACAAAATATTGAGAAAACAAGGAAGTTGTGATTTGTAAACAAATTAATTCCATTTTCTTTTGGCGTACTTGATCAGAAGTCCATTCATGTTATTAGACAAAACAAAATTTAACTTTCCAGTGTCTTTAACAATATATTTGTTTCCTGAAGGTTTGAATTTTTTTTTAATTTTTGAGGTGAAATATCAAGTCTTTACCTATTTTCTTATTGTCAAGCTCTTTGGTAAGTTTATTATTCTAACTTCTGCTATTTTAGATTCCAGCCAGTTAAAGGGTATTTTTCAAGTCTTTAAAAAATATTTAATATTAATGCTTTACCTGCCCTGTAAAATGAACTCATAACTTTCAGTTCCTTAATATTATCAATAAGAAATTATTTCTTATGGTGAGGTTTAGTGTTCTGAAATAATCACAATGTCCCATTCAATTTTATTTATCACTATATGATATTGTACTTTTTAATTTAAAAAGTAATTAAGTTCTACTCTATTTCACAATGTAATGTTGAGTCTTATAAAATGCTCCAGTGATTTCTTTGATGAGAAACCTATCATGAGCCACTAACCATTGTACCGTTTGTTAATGCGTAACGGTATAATAGAGGGGACCAAATGTTTGATTACTGCTCTACAGTATAATAGTTGCATGCAAAAAAAAATTATGGTAGATAGATCATGGTAAATATACATAATGCACATCGTATAGGGGTGAGACAAGGGTGACAAATGAGAGTAGAGAGACCAGCAGATGCCAGATAATTTGGAACATCCAACACTGAAGACCAGGAATAGGAGGAGGCTGCCACCTGGAAGACTGAAACGTTAAGATTAGACACAAATGGAGTAAAGTAGATGAGAAGAGTCTCAGAAGAGAGGTCAAGTACTACAGTGACGGAGGAGTAGAGATGAAAGAAGTCATGGCCTTGAAAAAAGTACTTGCAGGAAAATGGCTAAGTTGAAATAGAGACTGCAGTCAATCAAACAGTAAGAAATGATGTTAAGGAAGTAGAGAACATGAACACAAGCTGATTTGATAGTGAAGGGAAGCAGTCTGGAAAGAGAAGGAATAGTGAGAGTGGGATATAAGGTGAGTGAACACTAGCTTTACAAGTGTTGGAAGACTGGAATTTCAAGTTAGTTTGTATGTTACCAAAAAGTTTGAGTAATTAGATCCATTTTCCATTTCTATTTTCTGATTCATTTTCATTTATTATTTTCAGATTCAATTAACACTGCTACATTTTTGTACCTACCACAATATAGTAGTGTAGAAGTTAAGAACTTGGGGGTGCTCCGTAGAATTCCTGAAAAGTTTGTTATAGTAGTTAAATGAGGTGTAATATACATAAAGGGCCTATTATATGGTGATGATGATGATAACTAACCATTTTTGAGTGTGCATAGTTACCAGGGTATTTTGTATACTTTACATGCCTCCTTTCATCCAATCTTCTCCTCATTGTAGATGAGGAACCTAAAATTCAGAAAGAGTGAGTGATTTGCTCAAGATCACAGAGCTAATAAGTGACAGAGCCAAGACTTTAATTCTTTCCCCTATAACATACATTATCTTATCAGGACTTTAAAATTATACTTTCTAAAGGGGAGTTAATTTGGTGGTGATACAAATATTTTCTATACTAAGTAACTCAATATTCTGTTTCTAAAACATATATTTTATGAAAAAAACAGGGTGTTGATACGTATAGCTTTTAATGCCCCAATTCTTTTGCGTTCTAAATTATGGCTATTTTTAAAGCACATATTTGATTTAGAATAATGAAATCTTTATATATATATATGTAAGTCAGTGCTCTTTAGAAATGTTAATTTATTCAGTGAAATATGTTTATCATTTCTTTAAATGTCCTTGCAAATTTTAGTGTTCTTTAAGATAGATGATATTTAATAACTTACTAATGCTTCCCTTTTTCATTTTAAAGGAAAACATCGTAAAACAGGAAGAGATGTAGCTATTAAAATCATTGACAAATTACGATTTCCAACAAAACAAGAAAGCCAGCTTCGTAATGAGGTTGCAATTCTACAGGTACTTCTTTGGTTCTCATTTGGGGAAAGGGTATAAAAATCCCTCATCCTTTACTTCTGCAAAGCAAATAAATTTTCTCTAAAAACCTGTGGCATAAATATTTTGGAACACTTTAAAATAATTGAAATGGCAGATCAAGTATCAGAACTTGCCTCAATAGTATCTTTCCTGAGTCTAGGCAGCAGTTGTTCTTTTTTATGTATTTAATTGTAGGTTTTAATATATAATTAATATTCATTAAATGGGTAATATTTCAGCATTTGCTCATAGTGGACATGCTGAGACCATTTTATTTTATATTACAAATGACCTTGCCTTCATAAACATGCCTTTATGCTGTGATAATAACATGAATTGGGTATGTAACTGTCAGCATATCAGTCACGGGAGTGAGCTATGTCTGAGAAGCAGATCATGTTGATTTTATTAATGTCCTCTTTGTCTCTCACTGTAAGCCTTTCATTTGACATCGGGCATTGTCACTTAACTTCTCTTATTAATAACAGTCCCTTTTTCAAACCAGAATTTGATAATAAAATGTATTATGTGATAAAGGTAATTTTTGAAACCATTAAAATTTTTTTGCAGACCAAAGGGAAATAGAGCAGTTATTTGCTAAATGTAGTCATCATGGCTATCTAGTCTACTCAGTTGAGATCATTGATAAATTCCGATTTTTATATACCTGCCATAATTTTTTACTTCTCATGCAAGCATGTCATAATTTTTAATTCCCAGTTTTAACGGACAATTTTTTTTCGCAAAACGGAACATTTCATTTCTTCATTTATAGTTTCATTTAACTGCCATTTATTGAGTTTCATATGATAAAAACCTGAAAAAGATATGAATTCTGTCCTAAGGGAGCTCATGTGCACAGACAGCCACAAATATTGCCTGCTAAACATAGAAAAATAACATAGACTTTTCTGGGACTCAGAATTTCTAAAGATGATGTTTTTGTGTCTCTGGACAACTAATGGAGCACAGAGGACTCACAATGCTCTCTGCTTACATGGGGAAGAAAACAACCATGGATGTGAAGATACTAATTAATGGATTCATGTCTTAGTATCTGCTAATCAGTTACAAACAACTGGCAACATTGAGGTGCAGATGACATCTGAAACTCTAGTAAATGACATCTTTCCTAACCTGGCCCTTGCACTTCCAGTCTCCACGCACTGTGGTCTTCTGAAGGAAGATACTTTTGCAGGGAAGGAATACAGAGTTAGCATGCGTACAGGAGATATTTATTCTTCATTATAGGATTGGAGAAGAGAGCTTCATGGTTAACATGGTTACATCTTTCTATATTTTACTGCAATTGCAGAAAACTGACTAGATATTGGGGTTCTAATTTTCTGTGTCTAGGCCTTTTAATTGGCTTTCCCCAAGTCTGTCAACACAGTATCAGCTACTGACTCGAGAGGTAGAAAAATAAAATAAGGCCGGCCGAGATGGCTCACGCCTGTAATCCTAGCATTTTGGTAGGCGGAGGAGGGCGGATCACCTGAGGTCGGGAGTTTGAGACCAGCCTGGCCATCATGGTGAAACCCCATCTCTACTAAAAATACAAAAATTAGCCGGGTGTGGTGGCAGGTGCCTGTAGTCCCGGCTACTCTGAAGGCTGAGGTAGGAGAATCACTTGAACCTGGGAGGCGAGGTTGCAGTGAGCCAAGATCGTGCCATTGCCCTCCAGCCTGGGCAACAGAGTGAGATTCCTAAAAAAAAAAAAAATAATAAAAACAGAAGGAAGGAAAGAAGGAAGGAAGGAAGGAAGGGAGAAAAATACACCTGAAGTATAAACTACCTCCCTATTCCTCTTCTAAAACAGAGGTCCTCAGTCCCCAGGCCGTGGACCTGTACCTGTACGTGGCCTGTTAGGAACTGGGCCGAACAACAGGAGGTGTGCGGTGGGCCAGAAAGCATTATCTTCTGTGTTCCGCCTCCTTAAGAACAGCAGCAGCATTAGATTGTCATAGGAGTGCAAACCCTATTGTGAACTGCACAAGAGAAGGATCTTCTGGTTGTGCACTCCTTATGAGAATTAAATGCCCGCCCCCTCCATGCTCCCATGGAAAAACTGTCTTCCACTAAACCTGTCCCTGTTGCCAAAAAGGTTGGGGACCACGGCTCTAAAATATTAGATGCAGACAACTCAGATGCAATAAATATACATTTGGAAAATCCTTCATCATAATAAGGTTTTCTAAAGAGTTTGGTTAGGTTGAAAGTCCAGTTCTGCTCCTGGACCATATGAAAAGGTCAGACATCTCTGATAGCCTGAAATCTCAAACATCTCCATTACTTATACTCAATCCCACTGCCCCTAATCATTCTTTGCCTCATTCATCAAACTAGTATTTATTGAGTACATATTATGAGCCAAACACTGTTCTAGGTTCAGTAGATACAGCACAGACAAAGGCACACAGCTCTTTGCTGTCATGGGTCTTTAAATTATATCACTCAGCTATGCTCAGTTATGCTGAGTTGGATATTTGCAACATATTTATGTACCGAATTTTCAATCACATAACCTGTACAATGGGTCATGTCTAGGCTTGGTTTAATCATATACAGATAATAGGTTCAGTAGTTCATACTTTATTATAAAACTGCCAATTATTTTAAAATATGTTCATCAAGAATAGGAAACTAATCATGTCCCCCAAATGAAAATGAACCAAAAAAGAAGGAAAGGAAAGGAAAGGAAGAAAGAGAGGGAAAGAAATAAAGAGAGAAAGAGAGAGAGAGAAAGAGAGGGAGAGAGAGAAAGAAAGAAACCCTTTTTATTATTATTATTATTATACTTTAAGTTTTAGGGTACACGTGCATAATGTGCAGGTTAGTTACATATGTATACATGTGCCATGCTGGTGTGCTGCACCCATTAACTCATCATTTAGCATTAGGTATATCTCCTAATGCTATCCCTCCCCCCTCCCCCCATCCCACAACAGTCCCCAGAGTGTGATGTTCCCCTTCCTGTGTCCATGTGTTCTCATTGTTCAATTCCCACCTATGAGTGAGAGCATGCAGTGTTTGTTTTTTTTTGTCCTTGCGATAGTTTACTGAGAATGATGATTTCCAATTTCATCCATGTCCCTACAAAGGACATGAACTCATCATTTTTATGGCTGCATAGTATTCTAGTCATAGTATGGCTGTGGTGTATCTGTGCCACATTTCCTTAATCCAGTCTATCATTGTTGGACATTTGGGTTGGTTCCAAGTCTTTGCTATTGTGAATAGTGCCGCAATAAACATACATGTGCATGTGTCTTTATAGCAGCATGATTTATAGTCCTTTGGTTATACACCCAGTAATGGGATGGCTGGGTCAAATGGTATTTCTACTTCTAGATCCCTGAGGAATCGCCACACTGACTTCCACAGTGGTTGAACTAGTTTACAGTCCCACCAACAGTGTGAAAGTGTTCCTATTTCTCCACATCCTCTCCAGCAGCTGTTGTTTCCTGACTTTTTAATGATTGCCATTCTAACTGGTGTGAGATGGTATCTCATTGTGGTTTTGATTTGCATTTCTCTGATGGCCAGTGATGATGAGCATTTTTTCATGTGTTTTTTGGCTGCATAAATGTCTTCTTTTGAGAAGTGTCTGTTCATGTCCTTCGCCCACTTTTTGATGGGGTTGTTTGTTTTTTTCTTGTAAATTTGTTTGAGTTCATTGTAGATTCTGGATATTAGCCCTTTGTCAGATGAATAGGTTGCGAAAATTTTCTCCCATTTTGTAGGTTGCCTGTTCACTCTGATGGTAGTTTCGTTTGCTGTGCAGAAGCTCTTGAGTTTAATTATATCCCATTTGTCAATTTTGGCTTTTGTTGCCATTGCTTTTTGGTGTTTTAGATATGAAGTCCTTGCTCATGCCTATGTCCTGAATGGTAATGCCTAGGTTTTCTTCTAGGGTTTTTATGGTTTTAGGTCTAACGTTTAAGTCTTTAATCCATCTTGAATTAATTTTTGTATAAGGTGTAAGGAAGGGATCCAGTTTCAGCTTTCTACATATGGCTAGCCAGTTTTCCCAGCACCATTTATTAAATAGGGAATCCTTTCCCCATTGCTTGTTTTTCTCAGGTTTGTCAAAGATCAGACAGTTGTAGATATGCGGCGTCATTTCTGAGGGCTCTGTTCTGTTCCATTGATCTATGTCTCTGTTTTGGTACCAGTACCATGCTGTTTTGGTTACTGTAGCCTTGTAGTATAGTTTGAAGTCAGGTAGTGTGATGCCTCCAGCTTTGTTCTTTTGGCTTAGGATTGACTTGGTGATGCAGGCTGAAAGAAACCCTTTTGAAGTCCTTTTTACCATTGTCAGATACATTAGTCTCTCAGTAAAAATAGTAATTCAGTATCCTGAGACAGTGAAGTTAAGCTCACCTACTTTGAGTCCTTGCTCAAATATCACTCTCTACAGATACATGAGCACTACTCTAACACCCTATTTAAAATTGCAGTCCAAACCCCCTTCTCCATACTTCTCTTACCCTGATCTGTTTTGTTTTCTGTAGCAGTTATCACTTTCTAACCTACTATAGAATTGTATTTATTATATTTGTTGCAAGTTCCTCTCACCACTCTCAACCTTGGCTCTACCACTAGAATACACACTTCAGGGGGACAGTTAACATTGATTTGTTTACTAATGTATCCCCACTGCCAGAAATTGTTCCTGGCATATATTAGCTGCTAAATAAATTTTTGTTGAATTAATTAATTAAAGTTGTACAGAAACACCATCTTATAAGGTGACATCCATAGTATCCAACCAGGTAGCAAAAGGCTGGTTAGTTAGTTAAAAAGGATTATGTGTGTTTGCTCTGCAAAAACCCTCATTGTGTCATTTTATATTTATTATTAAAACTAGAGCTCACCATCTTGAACCTGAAGAGACAAAATAGTAATGGGGATGGCAGTGGGGTTGGCTTGCAACTCACTAACTCTCATCTGTTAAAAAAAAAAAGTACCGTGATTGAAGTCAATTGAATGGAGAGGAAGATTTTCTTTTACTAATCTTGAGAAATAAAATTCTATTCCTCTGCATATAAAAGCAATATCCAGAAGCATTTGGTATCTTCTACTTTGTGGTCCTCTAGCTTATAGAAGCTGGTGCCCTAGTAGGGCCTAACAAGTTTTGCCCTCCCCCTTCCTCCTCCTCATTCTCCAGAGGGGACCATGTGGGTTGAAATGCCAATGGGGCAAAATCCTCCTCAGTCAGCTCTGCTAGGTCCTCAGATCAAATTTTGATTTGTTTCTGTTCTTGGGAAAAAGCACCTGAGCTGATAGAAGACTTCAAAGTTGTGTAAATAGGGAATGTGAGAAAAGGTACAGCTCTCCTTTTTTTTTTTTCCATTTCATTTTCTCTATATAACTTAGGTGGAGGCTTTCCAAGATCTGATTTAATCATCAAAACACTAAGCTCTTTAGATATTTTTGAATAATTGAAGTTAAGGCAAGTCTAAGTCTTATGGCATATCATTTACATCTCATGCCATTTGGAATAGCTCTATTTTCATTATCTGTAAATACTTCACTATTATTATGTTTCAGACGGGTGTTAGTTAATGTAGATATTGGCCAGGTGTGCTGGCTCATGCCTGGAATCCCAGCACGTTGTGTGGCTGAGGCAGCCGGATCACCTGAGGTCAGGAGTTAGAGAACAGCCTGGCCAACACGGTGAAACCCCATGTCTACTAAAAATACAAAAATTAGCTGGGTGTGGTGGTGCACATCTGTAGTCCCAGCTACTCAGGAAGCTGAGGCAGGAGAGTCACTTGAACCCTCCAGGAGGCAGAGGTTGCAGTGAGGAGAGATCATACCACTGCACTCCAGCCTGGATGACAGAGTGAGACTCATCTCAAAAAAAAAAAAATGAATGTAGATATTAAGCTTATTTCATAAAATTTCCATCATCCCATGTATATTGTTTTTGAATTTTCTGTTATTCATGTCAAGATAAAAATAAAAGGATGTTTTGTGATTATTAAGGATATCACAGAAAACTGACCTTCATAAGGACATGCAAATATATCTTCGAGCACCTAAAAGCTTTTTTGTTTTTTGGGAGAAGGGGTCTTACTCTGTTACCTCATTGGAATGCAGTGGCGTGATCACAGCTCGCTGCAGCCTTGACCCAGGTTCAAGCAATCCTCCCACCTCAGCCTCTTGATGAGCTGGAACTACAGGCATGCCCCACCAAGCTTGGCTAACTTTTTTTTTTATTTTTGGTAGAGATGGAGCCTCTCTATGTTACCCAGACTGGCCTTGAACTTCTGAACTTAAGTCATCCTCCCACCTCAGCCTCCCCAAATGCTGGGATTACAGGCATGAGACACTGCACCAGGCCAGTTAGAAGGTTAAAATCTAAAGCAAATAACACTAGTATGATATATTTAATGTATTTTATAATTTAAATCAACAGACTTGTTCAGCCAAAACTAATTTTTATTTTCTAACTTTAGAATATCACAGTGCATATAAAGGTTAAGAAAAATATGTGTACATATAATTCTAATGGATTCACTAATATTTTTCTCCTTTTCTTGTATTGCAACTTTCATTTATCGATACTAGAACAATACTAGAGCTCCTATTTATAATAAATGAAAGCATTTTGGAATTTTAAAAGCACTGAATATAGAATACAGAATATAGAAAAAATGAATTTTATGGGTCATAAATTATTCTCCTGTATTTATCTCATAAAATTACCTCTACTTTTCTGGTTTATATTCTCTTCTCATCCAAGTCTGTCTTCATTTAAAAACAGAACAATGGCTGGGCACAGTAGCTCACACCTATAATCCCAGCTCACACCTATAATCCCTCTCAAAGTGGAAGGATCAGTTGAGGCTAAAAGTTAGAGACAAGCCTAGAGGTAACTCACAACTCACAATAGGAAAGATACAGAATCAACCTAAATGGTGAAAAATGGTAGACTGGATAAAGAACATGTGGTACATAAAGACCATGGAATACTATACAGCCATAAAAAAGGGAAATCATGTCTTTGCAGCAACATGGATAGAGCTGGAGGCCATTTTCCTAGGCAAACTAACACAGGAACAGGAAACAAAATACTGCATGTTCTCACTTATAAGTGAGAACTAAATAGTGAGTACATGTGGACACAAAGAAGGAAACAATAGATACTAGGTCCTACTTGAGGGAGGAGTATGGGAAGAGGGTGAGGTTTGAAAAACTACCTGTTGAGTACTAATGCTTATTATCTGGATAATGAAACCAAGTGTATACCAAACCCCTACAACACTCAATTCAACTATATAACAAACCCTATGTAACATGTATCTCTGAACCTAAAAGAAAATATTTTAAAAAGGTGTGAAATATTCACATAGTATTTTTGGTACTCAAATTCAAGGGAAGAAAAGAGATCCCCCTCTAGAACCTCCAGAAAGCCACACAGCCCTGCCAACCCTTTGCTTTTAGTCCAGTAAGACCCGTGTTTGTTTTCTAATCCCCAGACTGTAAGGTAATAAATCTGTATTGTTTAATAAAAAATTAAGTCGGTTGGTAGTGTGCACCTGTAGTCTCAGCTACTTGGGTGGCTGAGGCAGGAGGATCACTTGAGCCTGGGAATTCAAGGCTGCAGTGAGCTATGATCACACAACTGCACTCCAGCCTGTGCAACAGAGTGAGACCCTGTCTCTTGGAAAAAAAAAAACCATAAACGATAACAACAAAATGTGGTCTTGATTTATCTAGGCTGCGTCTCATAGCTATAGTCAAATCTCTCCCACACTTCAAATTTGTGCTCTGCTCCTCTTTCATTTCTTGTTTATAAATTTCCCTCTTGTCATTGGTTTCTACACCTTTCTTAAAGAAAATACATGGCAATACATGGCTTTTTTTTTTTTTTTTTTTTTTGGCCATACTCTTGATTTCTAAGGCTCACTTGTTCCTTTTTAAATCTCTCTTCTCACTTCATCCCTGTACTTACAAGATCCAATTTTTCCTTCCTTGCTAGCTCCTCTATCTTCCTAAACGTTTCCCTCCATTTATCTAAAGGATTTACGCACATTTGAAGCTCATTTCCAGAGCGAGGTCATCCATTTTGAGAGAGTCACCTGTCATCTCTTAGGCCATTGCTTAATACAGCTCTTGAAGTCCAGCCTTCCACAGGCACTTCAGTCTCACATTTCCATCCTTAGGACATCTCCACTTTGCTGTACTGCCCTCACCCGAAACCAATCAGCCTAAAGCCAAACACGTAACCCTAATGTTTTTCCCCACAAGATACTCTCTCCCTTTGTGTATTTTGCTATCATTCTTTCAATTTCTTAGGCAAGAACTCTTCCTTCAATTAATGAAAATATTAAGTCATTCGACAGTACCTGTGAAGCCCTTCATTCCTTTATACAAAGTGATTTGCTGAGCCTTTGGGCCGTATAAACATGAATAAAACCCTTTAAGATGTTCATACTCTATTTGGGCAGTCAGATACAAGTAGTTAGAAGTCAGAATCGCTGTGGAAGCACAGTGGAGGAAGTCATGGATTACCACAGATTCCAGAGCGTTGGAATCAGGGAGAGCTTCGAAGAGAAGCCCGGCATTGGCAAAACCTGGGAAGATTCATAAGCTTTTCATAGCCAGAGAAACAGTGGAAAGGGCCATTAGGCCGAGCAACCACCTCAGCAACATAAACAGGTTTTAAAAGCTGAGCAGCAAACTTTGGATTATTTTAAAAGAGTGATCTTCAAACATTTTTCTTCATTTGAACTCAAAAAGAATTCTGAAGCTTTGTACCTCCTTGTGTATTTTTAAGTTGGTATCTAGCACTATTTTGTCAAAAATTGTTTTAATTTTTCTAGTGGATGGAAAATATTGGTATTTGACAATAAAGCTGTCATATCACTCCTTTAAATGTACCCATTAGAATATAAATATTATAGACATTCGATACCCTTTATTAACTATTCTTTTAAATACATGAATAGGCTTTTCTTTAACAACAGTACATTTTGCAACATTCCTTGTTTTCCTTGAGCCTATTCCACTTTCCCTACAGAATTATATTTCAATGTAATGTGTTTTTATACTTTAAAGTCTTTTCTTGCTCTACCTTTCATAATTCTTTGCAATAAAAATATGTGTATATTGGCTGGGTATAGTGGCTCGGGCCTGTAATCCAAGCACTTTGGGAGGCCGAGGCGGGCAGACTGCCTGAGCTCAGTAGTTCAAGACCAGCCTGGGCAACATGGCGAAACCCTGTCTCTACTAAAAATACAAAAAAAAAAAAAAAAAAAAAAAAAAATTAGCTGGGCATGGTGCCCCATGCCTGTAGTCCCACCTACACAGGAGGTTGAAGCACGAGAACCTTGGAGGCAGAGGTTGCAGTGAGCCGAGATCGTGCCAGTTGACTCCAGCCTGGGTGACAAAGTGAGACTCTGTCTCAAAAAAAAAAATATATGTGTATATTTTTAAATTTCTTGATGGCAACATTTTAAATGTCTAAAATATTCTCCATGACTAATTTATTATTATAACTGTTGTCACTTATTACTTATATAACTATATAGATATTATTCAGTAAGATAAATATTCTGTAAATCTTTATGCTTGTATAACAAAAATTAAAATATTACTGGAAATACATTATTTAATGAAATCGAATTAAATTTAGTTCATAAATTGGTGAGTGAATATTACTTATTACTCAAGTGAGACAGGGCTCAGAAATAATTTTATTCCTTTTTTTAAAATGTAGGAGCTGAGTTGTAAACAAAAAGAAAAATCTCAGTGATTTATATTTATCTTCAGTAGTTCATTTTTATTCTCCCTCTGTTTATAAATCCATTAAATCCTTCTTTATTATTGTTGAAAGCACGAATTAGAAAGTAAGTTGCAAAAGAATTGATTTCCAATTCAATGGGGTCATTCACTTTATACCAACACAGTATTTCAAATTTTCCCATTATTGTTCTCCCCATGGAAGAAAGTATTTTTCTCCCCATGGCAAAGCACCCTAGTAATATTTGGAATGTATGACATCCATGCCTTCCTTTTAGAAAATTGGAGAAAAATCATCATGAAAGCAAACTTGGGGATGGAAAATTTTCAGACCACAGGATATTCTTAGACAGATCTGTGTTAGAAGAGTATGTGTGGACTGTTAGGATTCATTCATGCATTCATTCATTCAAAGTATAATTATTGAATGCCCAGCATGTTCCACATAGTAGGGATACAAATGTAAACAAAATAGATTTTCTTAAAACCATCTCTGTGCTCACATATCTCATAAAAAATCTTTTTGCTCTCCAAGAGTATGCCTTCCTTAGATTGGAGACTGCTTTAGTGGGACAAAGCCTGCGATAAGACCAGGAAATGGGCTTACTGTGGGTTCATGGAGAACCTTTGATATGTTACCAAGTCAGTTGGATTTTATTGTGCCTGGGCAATGATGAATTATTGAAAAGTTTTCAAAAAGAAATTGCTATGATCAGATCAGCATTTTGGGTTTATGTATTACACAGAAGAAAGTTTAAAGGCAAGAAAAATTTTTAAGTGGAGTGGGGCTGAACATGCCTTAGCATAATGCCTGGCCCCTGGAAGGCACTCAGTAAATATTTGTTGAATGAAATATGTAGCCACAACTGAAGAAACCAGAGGATACAGATTTGCAGGGCATGGCAATAAGGGAATAAAGCATTTCTTACCATCATTTTTTTTTGTTTAAAAGACATAGTAACTTGTCTTCATGGAACAAGATTAAATATTTATCTTCTGGATGATCAGGAGTAAGTAGAGAGGAGATAATTATGACAGAAAACCAGAGAATAATGTTGCTAAGTGTGCACAAGAAAATGAAAATTTTTGGAAACTGGAGACTTCTTTTTAAATCACAAATAAGTCAATTATTTCTCTAGAGGAAAACGTGCAAAATGTGGGTGCTTTCTCTTTCAGTGTGTATTGAGATGTTGGCTTATATTTTTGTTGTTTCATCTAATATGTACTATATTTCTTCAAATATTTCTTTCCTTGCATTATATTACATGAAGAATTTTTTTTTTGAGACAGAGTCTCGCTCTGTCACCCAGGCTGGAGTGCAGTGGCATGATCTTGGCTCACTGCAAGCTCCACCTCCCGAGTTCACGCCATTCTCCTGCCTCAGCCTCCCGAGTAGCTGGGACTACAGGCACCCACCAGCAAGCCCGGCTAATTTTTTGTATTTTTAGTAGAGACGGGGTTTCACCTTGTTAGCCAGGATGGTCTCGATCTCCTGACCTCGTGATCCACCCGCCTAGGCCTCCCAAAGTGCTGGGTTTACAGGCGTGAGCCACCGTGCCCGCCCTACATGAATTTTTATGAAACTATTTCTATAGGCAAGACATGTTTTGGAGCTCTAAGGAAATCGTACTGTCTTTTGCATGTTCCAAAATAAACTGTATAGGTTATGTATATATGTCTAAAATAGGGAAAACAACTATCTATTATAAGAAAAAGAAAATTAATTTAGAAAATTTTCCAAATAGATATTCTGTCAGAAGTTAAATCATCGTAAAAAGTTAGTGTCAAAAGGCTAGGTTTCAAGTAAAAATTTTCCATTTTTTAGTAAATCTCTTTCCACCCTGGTTTCCTTAACTGTGCATTAGAAATCATGCTGACTTGGTCTATTTCCTTCATAGGAGTGTTTTGGGGACTAAATTAACTCCTATATAAAGCATTTTAAAAATCATTATTTCCCAGCATATTTTTCAAAGAACGCTAGTCTTTTGAACCCCTTCACAGAAGAGGTGAAAACACATTTTTTCATCAAGAAAATTTGGAAAATGTTGTGTATGTACTGTATCCAGGTCACTCACGTCTTAGAAGTAAACATAGCCTTTTACTTATTAACAATTCTGAGAAATCCCATAATTGAAAACTTGTTTAATTTTAAGAATATGTTAGTTAAACTCATTTTGCCACAGAACCTTATACAGATGTAAGGTATTACCATTTGACTTTTTGCACATGATATTCTGTCATCTAACCTTGTCCAGTAGACCCTACATGCTCACTTTAGTTACCATTATCTGGTATATAATACATCCGAAGGATTATGTGTCTGCACACATTATTTAGCATATCATGGAATGTTATGCTTTTTGGTGTGCTGACATCTAAATATAGAAGCTGTACTACAGTAATAGGATTTGTCAAAAATTACACTTAAAATCTAATGCCAAGCCTAGATTGGATTTTTGTGTTACTGTTTCCAGCCAGGTAGATTAACAGGAAATAAAAAGTTTTCCATATGTCTTCATTTCCAGACATTTGATGCCAAGTAGAAGAAAAATCCAGATATTTGCTCCATTTTTCAATTTTTATAAACCATTAAACAGCTTCATGTAGATTCCAGCGTTTGTTTTTTTTTTTTTTGGTAATAATTCACACTTTTAATATTCTCTTTCT